>NC_000001.11:242244727-242396242 GCF_000001405.40 Homo sapiens
CTCAACTTCTCATGATGCCTTCATAGGTGGTCAACAACTGTCTGTTGAATGTGTATAAACTTCTGAATCATGAGCAGACTTGGACAAAGCTATCTTTTTCTAAGCAAGACTCAGTAACAACCAATCAGAAAATAAAGTTCTACCTAAGTTTCCAAATTAGAATAAGATGGATGCCAAACTCAGAAACTCAAATAGAACTCAGAGACCTAATTAGCCACTTATGACTTCCGAAATGTTATTGAGTTATTTTACAATCTTAAACTAAATCATTTAAAACTCCACTCAGCTTATGAGTAAGTTTTGTCAATACTGATTATGCTGGGAGCCTCAGGCATGTGCCAAGTACATTACCATGCTGTTGTTTTTCCAGTATTATATAAAACCTTCAAGTTTTTCAGACTTGAACCACTGTAATACTGACTTCTGTGGGTTAGGAAAAGAAAAAAAAGGAGCCTTTTAGAGAAGGTTAATTTAAAAGATAAGCACAATTTACATGTAAGGAAACATCAAACCAGAGTAAAGGTGCTACTCTTTCAATAATGCCTTCCCAAACTGAAGCATGAACAATCTTGACTGAGGCATAATTATAGGAAATTTGCTTAAGGGAACACAGAAGCATAGACTTCATTTTCAAAAGCTGGCATTTGCCTTCTCATCAGCTTTGCTTCGTGCATAATTAGATTCATTCATCAGCCTCTTTGTTCACTGTAACAGCCTCAAATCAAGCGCTTGCCTGTTCAGCACAGCGTGTGGGGATGCAGCGGCGTAGGCTCCTTGGAGAAAGCAGAAGTTTGGCTTCAGGAGGAAGCACAGACCCATTCTCAAGCCTGTCAGAGTGAGTTAGGTCCTATCTCTGCACACCTCCTCCTCAAAACTACATGAAAGATTTAGTATCCATTGGTAGTTTTGAGTCATTCACATTCAACATTCATAAGTTGGCATTTTCAGCTGAGAAGCCCTTTAGGATATAAATGAGGAAATTTCCCTGGGAGAATCGGGGGTGGGAATGGGAATTTGTTCTTTAGGCTGCATATTCCAAGCACAGATTTGCTGAGCAAGAAAGACTGTTCTGGTGTTAGTGGGGCCCAGTACTGTGGCTTCTCACCAGGTAGACCCACCACTGGTTTGCATCTTAAGGCAGCACTTACAAAGTGAACTCACAGCCCCCCTTCTTCCTTCCTTCACAGCATTTCCCTCCTTATACCATACGCCCAAGTTTCTTTGAAAAATGTTTTAAAGTACCTATCACGTGCCAGGTACTATGTTAAATACTTTATTATCTCATTAATCTTCAGAATAACCCTAGGCAGTAGCTACTATTATTAGTCCATTGTAGAAATCAGGAGACTGAAGTTTCAAGAGGTTAAATAACTCACAGAAATGTAATTCCAGTGCTTTGGGAGACTGAGTCAGGAGGATCACTTGGGGCCAGGAGTTCAAGACCAGCCTGGCAACACAGTGAGACCCCCATCTCTACCAAAAAAAATACTTAGCCAAGCATGATGGCATGTGCCTGCAGTCCCAGCTACTCAGGAGGCTAAGGCAGGAGGATCTGTTGAACCCAGGAATTCACGGCTGCAGTGGGCTAGGACTGTATAACTGCACTGCAGCCCGGGCAACAGAGCCAGACCCTGTCTCCAATAAATAAATAAATAACTCACAGAGGTCACACAAGTGACAAAGCCAAGTACATATTCCCACTCCAGAATCTGAGTTTTCAGCCCCCACCCTATACTTGCATAGAAAAGACAACACACACACACACACACACACACACACACACACACACAAAAGCAAAATCAGCTATAATCTCATCACTCAAAGGTAACCCTTATTAACACTTTACAGATGTTTTCACATGTGTAAAACTAGATTATCTTTGAATAAAAATGAAATAACACAATAGCTTCTGTTTTGTAGACTACTGCTTTTCACTTAGCAACATAATCTAAAGATTTTCCCCTTGTTGGTGGTGTTCACAGGAAAAAATCAAACTCGGTAAAGTATTTTACAGAGGTTTATTCTGAGCCAATCTGAGTGACCATAGCCTGGGGAACACAGTCTCAAGACGTCCTGAGAAAGCGTGCTTGCAGTGGTCAGGTTACGCTTTGGTTTTATACATTTTAGGGAGACAGGAATTGTGGTGAAATCACAGATCAATACATGGAAGGCATACATTGGCTCAGTGTGAAAAAGTGAGACCCTTGAAGTGGAAGCTTATGAGTCATAGGTGGGTTTTAGGGATTCTTTTTTTTTTTTTTTTTTTTTTTTTTTGAGACGGAGTTTCGCTCTGTCGCCCAGGCTGGAGTGCAGTGGCGCGATCTCGACTCACTGCAAGCTCCGCCTCCCGGGTTCACGCCATTCTCCTGCCTCAGCCTCCCGTGTAGCTGGGACTACAGGCGCCCGCCACCATGCCCGGCTAATTTTTGTATTTTTAGTAGAGACGGGGTTTCACTGTGTTAGCCAGGATGGTCTCCATCTCCTGACCTCGTGATCCGCCCGCCTCGGCCTCCCAGAGTGCTGGGATTACAGGCGTGAGCCACCGCGCCCGGCCTTAGGGATTCTTTAGTTGGCAATTGGTTGAAAGAGTTAAGCTTTGTGTGAAACCTTGACGTCAGTAGAAAGAAATGCTTAAGAGAAGGGAGTCTGCTGTCATGTGAGGCTGTACCAGAGTCAGGTTGGACAGTAAGTCACATTATACTGGGTCATTACAAAAAACCCATTTAATGAGATTTTATGGTTCACAGGGTGTGACTTAACCCTTGCCTTGCATGGCCTTAGGTCTTGTTTATAATTCTGTATCTTATGGTCACAAAGAGTCTATTTTGTCAGTCTTATGATCTCTATTTTAACCTTAATGCTGGTCACTTGTGCCTAACTTCTAGGAGGACATGAGTTGTGTCTGACCTCCGTTCTCATCACAGCCAATAACTCAGTTTTTCAGGTTTTTTGGGGGTCCCCTTGGCTAAGAGGGGCTCCGTTCAGCAGGCTGGGGGGCTTGGGATTTTACTTCTAGTTTACAGTGGCTATTCTCCTTCAATGTGATTTTTGGATGATTGGTATTCCAACATGTGGATGATCCACTGTTTAATTCTAAAAACCGTGCTGCAGTGTACGTCTTTGTACATAATCTTTGTGAACCTAACTCTGAGCAGCTGCTGTGGCAACCTGAAGGCAATAGGCCTGCAGAATAAAGGACTGGCTGAAGCAGAATCTCTTCCCAACTGAGTCTTGTCTTCACTGAGGCCATGACCATCCAATGGCACAAATCACACCGTGACTCGTAGCACCTCTGGTCTTGCTGCTTTTTATCAAGTTGGTATAACTATGATTAAAGCTTTTGTTGAACTACTGTTATCTTTTGTTCCTCATGGTTATATGGTTATTATGCAGTTATTTTATATTTTGTTATATAGTTACTTTGCACTGAAGAAAGCAAAGTTCTTTTATCTGAGGAAGGCAAGTCCTTTTAAATTATCAGGCTGGGGAAGGCATGAAAACGAGACAGCAATCATGTTGTAACTCCCCACTTTAAGCTATGTATTCATCTCTTGAAACCGCTTACTATTGCCATAAACAGCTGTACATTAACCTAATAATGTCACACTGGACACTATAACCCACATCCTATAGCTTAAAAACATACAGCCAATCATGTGTATATCTATGTAACAAACCTGCATGTTCTGCACATGTATCCCAGAATTTAAAGTATATTTAAAAAAAAAGAAAATGACATTTAAAATACCACACCAAAAAAAAAAAGAATAGCCAATCACTGATCAATGTTATTTCTGCAAACCAAAGAGAATTCCTGACAAACAACTTTGTATCAGCCTAGTCTGTCACCCTTTTTGCCTTTAAAAGCCTGTTTGTAACAAAGGCTGAAGGGAGCTCATATCCAAGGTTAGTTAAGTCTTCTGGGCAGCTGCCCTCACTTTGGCTCAAGTAAACTCTTCAAATTATATTTTGTGCATCAGCCTCTTCCTTTTAGGTTGGTAGCATGTACTCTTTCCTCAAGAGGAACCATAATTTATCAGTTTCCTTAATAAGCCTACAAAATTGTGTATCTCCACACTCCCTCTGCTACAGTTTGAAGATGTTCCCTCCAAAATTCAGGTGTTAAAACTAAATGGCCAGCCGGGCTTGGTGGGTCATGACTGTAATCCCAGTACTTTAGGAGGCCAAGGCGGGCGGATCACCTAAGGTCAGGAGTTTGAGACCAGCCTGGCCAACATGGTGAAACCTCACCTCTAATAAAAATACAAAAATTAGCCGGGTGTGGTGGTGCAGGCCTGTAATCCCAGCTACTCGGGAGGCAGAGGTCGCAGTGGGCCAAGATGGCACCACTGAACCCCAGCTTGGGCAACAGAGTGAGACTCTGTCTCAAAACAAAACTAAACATAACTAAATGGCCAATGTGATAGTATTGTTGGCCCCACTGTTGGTGGGGCCTTTAAGAGGTATTTAAACCATTGGGCTCCTCCCTTTTGAATTGTATTAAATGGCCTTATAAAGGGACTTCACAGACAGGACTGGTCCTCTTTTGCCCTTCCACCTTCTGCCATGAAATGGTACAGCAAGAAGGTCCTCACCAGATGCCAGCACCTTGATCTTGTACATCCTAGCCTTCAGAATTGTGAGAAATAAATTTCTGTTCTTTATAAATTATCCAGTCTCAAATAAGTTTCTGTTCTTTATAAACTACCCAGTCTCAGATATTCTGTTATAGCAACACAAAATGGACGAAAACACCTTCAAATCATCTTTCAAAGAAAGTTAAAAGGGAGGGAGCAAAAAACAACCAGGGGGTAGTGAAACATTAATACCCTTGACTTTTTCTTGAGAAGGAAATCACTTAATACCTCTGCCCAAGTTTGGGTTAATTAGCCATATGGATGAGTGAAGAACTTAGAACACCTCAGCAAACTGCACATATTCTCCTAAGTATGATCCATACTCCATCATCTAACTGGGCAAATGACCAGAAAAAATAATGTAGAAAAAAACATTCAAAATGTTCTTATTTCTGATCTCCATTGGAGCTTATTAAAGGAACAGAAACATTAACCAAAGTAGTCTGAATTATATCAACCTTTCAAATGCCATTTTCAATGTCACTTTCAAGTGCTATTTTCTATTAGGAGACAGATACTATCTAAATTTCCATGAAAATTAGCATTGATATACCATTCTATGCTTTCAAAATGCTCGTACCATCAATTACTAATTAGCATAACATTTCAGAACCATCCTAAGCTTTAATTATAAAGAAATTCCTTTCTAGCATGGTTCCCTTCATATGAAGAAAGTTATTCCTTCACCACCTTCTAGGTCCCAACCATGTCAGAACAAAGTTGTTAAACCCTTCTAAATCTCCTGATTTTAAATTCAGTCACTTGCCACATTGCTTAGTCTCTCCCAGAGAAAAACGGTATACTCAGTGTTATAAAAATCAAGGCTCAACCTGAAATCTGGGAAATTTGAAGTGTACTCTATGTAGTGCTTTATACACCCAAAGCTTGCACTGTTTATTCAACTAACATTTATTTATTGCCTACACACATGTCAGTCAAGTCTCCATCTTGCCCTCATTAAGGTTAAAGTCTAGAGGTAGAAACACGCATTACAGTGCAGGGATGCTCAGAGAGAGGGAAGCCCTGGAAGGTGAAGGGGAATGGGGAAGGGCAGACGGCTCAGCTTGGAGGGAGGTGGGAGAGGCCTCCTGGGGAAACCTTGATGAGAACTTTGGAATGTCTCTGCTGCCATTTGAGTTCCATATTATTTTTTTTAACCAATTCTATTTCTAGACCAGTGCTATTATTTACTTAATTACACTTAAATTTAAATCGATACATTCTTAGCTTTGCTCCAAGTATTACTAATCATAAAATAATGTGTTTGATGTACTAGTTATGTACTACTTTATCCTAATACATAATAAAATAATACATTCAAATAAAACATTCAGCAAGCCGCCAAAAAATTGGTAAAGCAAGGAAGGGACAGGAAGAATTTACTGACTTTTAGGAGCCTCATTCAGTGTGGAGAATAGAACATAGTTAACATTGGAGTCAGGAAAAACTGTTAGGATGTCATTTGCAGTCATTCCAGAGAAATGATAAAGGCCTAAGTTAGAGTAGTAGAGGGAGGGAGGGAAAAGGAGAACTATTTCCAGAAATGTTAAGACTGCACATGTAGAAGTGCAGACTGATTTGATTTTGAAGGTTGGAGGAGGAGAAGGAAATCAAGGTTAGCTCTAGGTTTCTTTGCGGGGCAAATAAAAAAATAGTCAGGTCATTTACTGAGATAAAACTTAATGGAAGAAGAACATGGAGGGCCAGGTGGGGGTGGTGCATCCATTTCATTTTGGATACATTGATTTTGAGGTATTCCGTGAATATCCAAGAGGAAATGTGAAGTTTGCAGTTGAATATTTGTGCCTGGAACTTAGGAAAAACAATGTGTGGGCCATCTGCATATCGGTGATGAATGAAGCCACAGAAGCAGAAGCAATCAATGCAGCAAGAGTAAATAAAGTGAAGAGAAGGGAAGAGGAAGAGAAAGAAGAGAAGAAGCCAATGTTTAAGGGAATGATAGTGTATTCAAAATTGGCAAAAGAGACTGAGAAAGCGTGGCCAGAGACAGAAGGGAAATACAGAGTGAAACCAAGGGACTAGACAGTTCCAAGGAAAAGAAAAAAGCAGTACATAGTGTTCAAAGCTGAAGAAAGGTCATGTGATACAAGGTCTAAGATATTCCCACCGAGTTCCATACCTGGAAGTCCTCCGGGACTTTGACAAGGTAGTTTCAGTGGAGTCAGGGCAGAGCCGGGCTGCCGCAGTTGGAGGACTGCACAGGGGTAGGACCAGTGGTGCATAAACCTGAACATGGAGAAAAGGGCAGGCATTGGGTGGGGAACACCTGCCAGAGGGGATCTAGGATGGATAGTGCCAAGTTCTTTTTCCTTTCCCCTCATTGACTTGAGTGTGTTTATACATTAAGGGGAGAGAGCCATTTAAAAGGCAAAGGGTAAATGTAAAGGTAAGAGAGAAAAAAACTTGACTGAAATTCCTGAAAAAGTGGGACCAGATGTCTCAGGTGGAAGAGTTAGCCTTGGAAGAGAATCAGAGATAACCTCCTGAGGTTGAAGGAAAGGAGATGGAGATGCATGTAGATATGGAAAATGTACTGGGATAGAGCACTGTGATGGGAGAGTCCCAGGCTGATAGCCTCTAGTTTTGTTTGTTTGTTATGTTCAGTAAGTAAGAGACATGATCTTATGGAGAGGAAAGATGTTGGTTAGGAGACATAGAGTGTGAGTATAGCTGTGAGTATTTGGAATACCTTTTCCTGTGTATGACGTAGGAGGAAGTTAGTTGAATTACCAAGCATGAGAAAGGGATGGAAGGAAATGAGCTAAAAAAATAGATAAAATATAGTATGGGAAGAAGGTGGGCACAAAAATAATAGGCCATGGCCAAGGTTCATGCTGAACAGCCTGCTAGGAAGAACAGAAATAGAGCTTGGCATCTTAACTCACACCAGTTCTCGTGACATTGATTTAAAAAGCAGGTGCAATTGGGATGTCCACGGAGTCACAGAAGTAAGGGATCTTACTCACTCATGAGGATAATGAATATTCTCTGTCTGGCTACTCCAGGCAAGGCAGGAACTGCTCTGTCAGAAGACAATATGTCTCTAGCCAGTCATGGTGGCCCACACCTGTAATCCCAGCACTTGGGGAGGCCAAGGTGGGAGGATGGCTTGAGCCCAGGAGTTCGAGACCAGCCTGGGCAACATAACAAGACTATCTCTACAACAAAGAAAAAAAAAGTCTCTAGTACCCTTCAGAACATACACGTGGATGTGTGAACATAGATGTGGAGACGAGGGCTTCTGAAAGCCCTTATGATTCTGGGGATCCCATGATCAGTATTTTTAGCAACTAGCTTTTCTGTTTGGGACTGAAAAAAATAGAAAAGCTACTGGCTAAAAATGCTGACCGTGGGATCCCTCGGAATTATAAGGACTTTCTGAAAGACTGCCATTTATTCATTTATTTATATCTTTATTCCTCTTCAGTGCCTTTTTTTTTTTTTTTTTTGAGATGGACTCTCACTCTGTCACTCAGGCTGGAGTGCAGTGGTGTGATCTCAGCTCACTGCAACTTCCGCCTCCTGAGTTCAAACAGTTCTCCTGCCTCAGCCTCCCGAGTAGCTGGGATTACAGGTGCACACCACCAAGCCCGGCTAATTTTTGTATTTTTAGTAGAGACACGGTTTTACCATGTTGCTCAGGCTGGTCTCAAACTCCTGACCTCATGATCCGCTTGCCTTGGCCTCCCAAAGTGCTGGGATTACAGGCGTGAGCCACCGTGTATGGCCCTTTTTTTTTTTTTTTTTTTTTTGAGGCAGGGTCTCACTCTATCGCCTGGCTGGAGTACAGTGGTGGATCATAGCTCACCGATCACAGCTCACTGCAGGGTGGAACTCCTGAGCTCAAATGATCCTCCCACCTCAGCCTCCCAAAGTGCTGGCATTACAAGTGTGAATCACCACACCCAGCCTCTCTTCACTTTTTTTTTTTTTTTTTTTTTTTTTAAGACGGAGTCTCGCTCTGTCGCCCAGGCTGGAGTGCAGTGGCGCGATCTTGGCTCACTGCAAGCTCTGCCCCCTGGGGTTCACGCCATTCTCCTGCCTCAGCCTCCCAAGTAGCTGAGACTACAGGTGCCTGCCACCACGCCCGGCTAATTTTTTGTATTTTTAGTAGAGACGGGGTTTCACTGTGTTAGCCAGGATGGTCTCGATCTCCTGACCTCGTGATCTGCCCGCCTCGGTCTCCCAAAGTGCTGGGATTACAGGCGTGAGCCACCGCGCCCGGCCGCTTCACCTCTTAAAGAACATCCTCCCCAAATTCTAGCATCCCTAGAATAGAAATACATAAAGCCACAACCAGATGAAACAGATAAAATTCTGCTTTTCTCCTGTCACAAGGTTGAATATGCATATAATTTCCTTGAAAATGTTATTCCTGCTGAGGTTCTTATGTATTAGGGATAAAAATAAAACCTGTAGCACAAGATTCTATGTTTTAGAGCAAATGTTTAGATTTTATGTGTTTAGATGGGTACGACTATATTATATGTATCAGATGAACCCTTGTGAAAGTTTAAACACATTGAATTGCAGACTTAACTTGGGCAGCTCTTAGAACAGAGACGGAAAACACAGATGGGGAGTCACTGGTGTCACCAGCTGAACAATTCCAATACAAACTGAAGCCAGCAAGAGTTAGTGCACAACCATACAGGCAAACAAACCAGCTGCATTCCCAAAGACGATCTGTAATGTATGATTAAAACCGGGGCTTTTCTTTCATCAGAAAATCACAGATCTAGGTTTGTAATTTAGAAGCAAAAATAAATCCAGTCTGGTCTAGTGGCACTGACAGGTCAAACACAAATAGTACACACTTGGGTAAATTAAGGCAACAGCTATAGTGGATGTCATTTACTAACAGTTCGTTATGAGGTAGGCACCTGCACCAGACACTTTTTATATATTATCTAATTTAATTCTCATAGCTCTCAGGGAGGTTATTATTATCCTCATTTAACTGAAAAAAAAAAAAAAAAAGAAAGAAAGGAAAAAAAGGAAAGGCTGGGCGTGGTGGCTCACGCCTGTAATCCCAGCACTTTGGGAGGCTGAGGCAGGCGGATCACCTGAGATCAGGAGTTCAACACCAGCCTGGCCAACATGGCGAAACCCCATCTCTACCAAAAATACAAAAATTAGCCAGGCATTGTGGTGGGCACCTGTAATCCCAGCTACTCAGGAGGCTGAGGCAGAAGAATCGCTTGAAACTGGGAGGTGGAGGTTGCAGTGAGCCAATATCACACCATTGCCCTCCAGCCTGGGCAACAAGAGTGAAATTCGTCTCAAACAACCACCACCACCACCACCACCACTGAGGCTCAGAGAAAGTGCCGGCCTATGGTTACACCACACAGTAATGACAAGTTTAGAATTTCAGCACAAGGTCGGGGCCACAAAAGTACCTGTTCCTAGTTATTATGCTAATTACGCTGCTAATTATCACTAAAAAGCATAATGTGGCCAAACGAGCATAGGATGAAAAGTTTCTGCCTTGCTGCCAAATATTTTGGTGTGCTATGAAGAAAGGTGGAAGACAGAATCCCTTGCAATACACTTTGACGGCAGCGTATAGGACAAAGGCAGCAGCCTTCAGGCAATCAAGCATGAGCCTCTCAAGTGGCATTCGCTTTGAGAAGGTGTGAAATGAAAGCACATATTGGAAAAGCATGCCGGGGTGACCGTTGGGGCACCCTGACTTCCATCTGGGCCATTACCAGAGCAGACCCAATACAAAGCAGCTTCATAAGTCCCCTGTCCAGAGGATTCCACATTCATGATAACCATGAGGACTGTCCTTCACTTGAAATGTTCAGCCTCCTTAACGATGGCAACCTTTCAGACAGTGGAAATGAAAGGTAGAATAATATAAAGTTTACTCTAGGGAAACTACCAAATTATACTTATAAGGCTTACATTAAATTAGCACACACAGGCATACATACTTGTAGAGTTAGATTTTGGAATAATTATAAAGCAGTAAAACCTAAGTAAAAAAAGCCTCAATAAGCTATCCTCCACTGATTTGGAGTAAGCTGTTCAAAAATCACCTTGTAAAATGCAGAGTTGGAAACTAGGGCAGCTTGCATTAACTTAAAAAATTACGCATGCTCTAAATGACGAGTTAATGGGTGCAGCACACCAACATGGCATGTGTATACATATGTAAATAACCTGCACGTTGTGCACATGTACCCTAAAACTTAAAGTATAATAAAAAAAATTACACATGCTTCTATGCTCAGATTTAGGAATATATTTTCCCTTTCAAAGATTTTGTTAAGCCTAATCCATGAATGTGAAAATAAAAATATGGATTATCAATGATGAATGAGTACAGCTTTCTTAAATTTAAATAAGCAATGGCAAAGATCACATTTAGAATTCAACAGAAAGAATTCAGCAGCTCCCTGTCCTTTTTAAAATAATGTAGCTAAAAGAACACCAGAACTCAACGATTTAAAAATACAGTGTTATTAACAAGAGTGACAGAGATTTAGTCTTATTTCAATTAAGATTTTGACTTTAATGAATAAAATTTAGTCACGAGTAAAGGCCAATTAAACGTCTACCAATTGTTCAATGCTTTGTGGGATCGTAACCCAAATGACCTAAAGATGCCCAGCCAGGGCTTATTAGGTCCCTGTGGCTATTGGTTATTCACTAATATGGGTAAGGCTCTGTCTAATTGGCTCACTTACTTGCTATATAGTGCTAATGAGGGAAAGTTGGGGTCACTTTTAAACTGGGTGTCTGAGACAGTCACTCAGCAAATGTATGACTTGAGTCACAAGGGGAGCAGATGAGTGGATGCAGAGGGCTGAGCACTGTCACTGTGACCAAGAGTTCACCCCAAGAGCATGCTTTGTATTGCCTTTATAAACAAAAAGTAACAGAAAGGAAACAATATGGATAAAAAGATAGGGAAATCTAGAAATTTAATTTTAAAATCTCATGGGGAGAAAAATCTGAAGATCTATTTCTCTATCTGATTTGAATGTCCCTCAAGAATCATTCGTTTAAACGTAATTCCCACTGTGGCAGTATTAAGTGGTGGGGTCTTTGGAAAGTGACTGAGTCACGAATGTATTGGTGTCTTGTAGCGGGGGTTGAAAGGAACAAACTTAGATTCTTTTGTGCCCTTCTGTCTTATCCGCCACGTGAGGACACAGCGTTTGTTCCCTCTGGGGGATGCAGTAACAAGGCGCCATCTTGGAAGCACAGAGCAGCTCTCAGCAGACACTGAACCTGCTGGTGCCTTGATCTTAAACTTCCAGACCCCAGAACTGTGAAAAAATAAGTGGCTGTTCTTTATAAATTGCCCAGTCTCAGTTATTACAGCAGCACAAATGAACTAAGACTATCATCTATCTATCTATCTATCTATCTATCTATCTATCTATCTATCTATCTATTAATATCTATCTTTCTATGTATCTGTCATCTATTTCTTTCTTTCTGTGTATCTGCCATCTATCTTCCTATCTTCTTTCTTTTCTCTCCCTCTTCTTTCTCTTTCTTTTTTCATCTATCTATCTATCTATCTATCTAATCTATCTCTACCTACTGTCTTCTATCTATATCTATCTACCTACCTACCTACCTTCTTTCTATCATCTATCTATCTATCATCTATCTATATCTACCTACCTACCTTCTATCTATCTATCTATCTATCTATCTATCTATCTATCTATCTATCATTTATCTATATCTTTCTATCTGTCATCTAACTATCTACCTACCTATCTACCTACCTTCTATCTATGTATCTACTATCTATATGAAGAATCCCAAAAAGGAAAGAAAATTCTTGACACATGAATGCTCTGGCAAAACAAAACAAAACCTTGTAAAAAAAAGTTTTGTTATCAGCTCCTTAAAGTTATCACAAAACATATATAGGTGGCACAGACTAAGCTCTATGTTTAATCACTTATAGGTCTGTGTGCAGGAGAGAAGGGAGGGGGAAGAAAATACATGTTTGATTCCAACAGACTGAAAGCTTGCAACACCAGCTGAGCAGGACTGTGTTAACACCCCAAGCCCACAGTGTGCTGGACCATCAGGAGAAAGAGGCACAGCCTGGAGGTCCCCAAGCTCTAGGATGAATTTCTTTCTGTGGTTGTGTAATTGGGCTGATCACTGGCAATAAGGAGCGATCTACCGTACAACATGGTGATAACAGTTAATAACAACGTACAAGATTATATTCTTGAAAATTGCTAAGGAAGTAGATTTCAAGTGCTCTCACCACAAAAAATAAGTATATGAAATAATGCATTTGTTAATTAGCTCAATGTACCCATCCCACAATGTATACAGATTTCAAAACATGTTGCACATGATAAATATATGTGACTTACTTTTCAGATAAAATCAATTTAAAAGATTTATTTTTTTTTTAAAGACCAAACAGCACCTAGTGACAGAGTTTAGCCCATAAGTGAAACTGGTTGTTTGTACGGTCACTCTCTCTTAGCAGATAATGTCAGTGGGAACAAACGCCTGGGCCTTTTCATGCCTGTCACGTTTACCACTGCGTGTTTGCTATCCCTCTTCTTTTTAGAACCAAGCTCTCATGATTAGCCCCTCTTTTTTCACTTGGGTTGCGATTCATCACGCTGCATAGCTAGGAATATGATTTCTGATATCTTTCTTGTCTATCCCAGGAGACTGTCTCTTCTCCAGTGTATTTCAGGTTTCTGGTTTCATTGTATTGTTTTCCTATAGAAATTGCATATAAAAACCGATTTGAATAACTTCCTTCCTGTTTCAGGTAATAGAGCAGTTTTTGCTTATATTTTTGGATAGGCACACTTCCTATCACTGAATGCTCTAGCCATCAAGGGGGTCTGTAAAGACCCCCACATTTCTTAAAAACCAGCACAGCCTGAATTCTCCGAATTTCCATCCACTGAGTATGGTCACTGCACTATAAAGAAGCCCTGTTGCAAGAGGTTTAGTTTAGAATCTACCTCTCTCAGTGTGGTATGAGGAATGGTCATTTTAACTTAATTAACTTATTAAAGTTTAAAGTTTCTAAGTTGAATTTTCTAGTTTATTACTAAATATTTTAAAATAACACTTATTACTCTAAGTCATTGATTCTGAAACATTTAGTCTTCACATTTTAACATCTCTGACATTGCAATGCATCTTACGATTGCTACAGACCAAGTGACAAGTTGTGACAAAGTTGTCACTGCATTATTCCTGGTGGCATGACAGAGCTCTTAAAGTTTCCCAATATTCAGTCAACAAACCATTTAAGGACCCTTTGAGGAAAGAATACAAGATCTGGTTATTGTCTGAATATCTTGCTTTGACATATTCTGGTAAGCTTCAAAAACAAGCTTCTGATTAGAGACAACAGTAATGCATTCTGTTTCTTAAAGCTACATAGCACCGTTGACACTCTTGGTGGTACAGAGACAATGCTGGGTGGAAAGCATGGGCATCAACCACTGTTGCAAAAAGTGATTCAGAAACATTGGACTCTGTGTAGATGTTTTAGGAATTTCTTGATCACTTGATTTCACTTATTGCTTGGTTTTCTCTACCAAACTCTGAACTCTTTGAAGTTAGGGGAAGGCTCATGTCTTAGTCATCTTCCTCTCTTTAAAGCCCAAGTTGTTGGCACATGACAGATAGTCAAGAAGCAATTGTTGGATTAAATATTAATGAACAATGGAGAAAAAGTAGATGGTAAGATCAACCAGGGTAAAGAGATGAAGGTGAAAGGGAAAATACTATGTGTAAGGCTTAAAAATGGACTTGGTCAGGCATGGTGGCACATGCCTCTAGTCCCAGCTACTGGGGAGGCTGAGGTGGGAGCACCACTTGATCCCAGGAGTTCAAAGCTGCAGTGAGCTATTATAGTGCCAGTGTACTACAGCCTGGGTGATGGAGCAAGACATCACCCCTCTCTCTCTCTCTCTCTCAAAAAAAATAAATTAATTTTAAAAAGGATGAAAAAGAGCTTGTAAATTGACAAGGGAAACACATAAGGGTATTTCAGGCACAGGGAAAACAATATTTTGAGAAACACAGCCCTGAAAAAGTAGGTTGTATTTGGGAAATCACAATTAGCTTTCAGATACTTCAAAACTCAATTATAGTAAATAATAAGAATGAGACTGAAACGAGATATTTCAGATCCTAAATGGTTTCAAATGCCTTATTATTATTTTATTTTATTTTTTAAAGAAAATGTGAACTTAACTTCTAGGTCACTGATTCTAAATCTTCTATGACACTTATTTCACTCATCATTTTATCATCCAACCATGAACAAATAAAAGCCTGCTTTTTTTTTTCAAAAGGAAATTGATATTTTCTGACTTTATTTTATTTTTAATTGTTGCTAGGCTACAGAGGCATTAAATATTGTAGTCATATTATAGAAAGTACAATGAATTGTTATGGTTTTGGTGGACAAATAATTCTTAATTTTCAATTTAATTGCAACAGTAACTATAACATACAAGAATTAAAAGTACAGTGGTATCCTTGAGGGATATTTTGCTTAGGACTAGAATATACAACCAGAGATAAAAATTGTGTTAGTAATATAAAAATTCAATAATATGACTGGGCTATTACTAGATTTGGTGAGAAGTAGGATATCAAAGGCATTTGCTGGGAGGCATGAGCAGAGAAAACGGGACTTAAGAGAATTGTTGGCCAGGTGGGGTGGCTCACGCCTGTACTCCCAACACTTTGGGAAGCCAAAGTGGGCAGATCATGAGGTCAGGAGTTCGAGACCAGCCTGGTCAATATGGTGAAACTCCATCTCTACTAAAAATACAAAAATTAGCCAGGGCTGGTGTCATGCACCTATAATCCCAGCTACTTGGGAGGCTGAGGCAGAAGAATCACTTGAATCCGGGAGGCAGAGCTTGCAGTGAGCCGAGATGGCACCATTGCACTCCAGCCTGGGTGACAGAGTGAGACTCCGTCTCAAAAAAAAAAAAAAAGAATTGTCACGATTACTCCCTGTAAGCCAAGTGGTGGCAGCAAGTGGCACATCCCTCAGGAATACGGATTTGAAGAAAGCAGAGGATTTCAATGACAATCTCACATCTCATTTAGCTTGTTTGTGAAGTCTACCGATTAAGATCATGTATCAGACAATGAGAAGCTATTTCACTTACACTCCACTTTCAGCTTTTAGACTTATAAGGGTTGACAAAATGCAAAAACAAAAATGAAAAGCTGTATGAAAGCAATGGAAAGCCTTGATATTTATAAAACAAATTTATTTAAATAAATTTTTGTAAAGTAACTTTCTAAAAATACCAAATGACTGAAATCATACCAAGTATATTCTATGAACATACATAATGAAAATAACAAAGGATAAATAGAACAATCTCCAAACGTTTGAAAATTAAGGATTACATTTCTAAATAGGCCACAGTACAGAGTAGACTGCAGTAGAAATCAGAAAACTTTCTGGACAGAAAACTAATTTAGAAATTTATGTCATATTAAAAATAGATGCAGCTAAAGCAGTAGTAAGAGGAAATATTGTAGCTTTGCTATAGGCATGAAGTAAAAGATTCAATATTGTCCATGTCAATTTTCACCAAGTTTATCTACAGAGTCAGTGTAATTCTAATACAATTTCAGTAGTTTTATGATAAGACGGTTCTAAAATTTGTTTCAAAACCTGAAGGTCCAAGAATAACTAAGGCAGTTCTAAAAGTGAAAAACAAAGATGAAAGTTCCACCATCTGTAACACATATTATAAAGGCAAGGTAAACAGTATGGCATTGGTCCTGGGATAAACAAGTAGACTGAGAAAATACGGTAAAGAATTCAAAGACAGAACTAAAATACAGTCACCTAATTTTTAACAATGATGCCTCGAACATGCAGTGAAGAAACTTTTTTAAACGAACGACCCTCCGTAAGTATAAAAATGAACCTTTACTGCTACTTCATACCATAAGCAGAAATAAAGTCCAAACTTAACACAGACTTAAATCTGAACAGCAAAATAATATAGTATCTAGAACACAACAAACAAGAAAATCTCCATGACCTTGTGATGATAAATAGTTTGTATACAGGATGCAGTAAGCATCAACAATAAGGGAGTAATTAATAAATCAGATTTCATTAAAACTAAGAATTTCCATTTATGTAAACACATCCTTGGAAGAGTGAAAAGATAAGCCTCAAATGGATGAAGATATATGAAATACATATATCCAACAAAGGATTCAAATCTAGCCTAATAATCAATAGGAATGGGCCAATTAAAACAACAATAACACTGGGCAAAATACTTGCAGAGGCACCTTCTCCAAGAGAATATGGAAATGGTCAATAAGCATATGAGAAGATGCTCAATATAATTTGCCATCAGAGAAATGAATATTAAAGATACAACATGATACGTATCCACCGGAATGGCTAAAATAAAACAAGGTGCCAAATTTTGCAAGGATGTGGAGCAAACAGAACATTAACATAGTGTTTGTGAGAGTGTGAATTAGTACAACCACTTAGAAAACTGACTGGCCGTATCTATCGAAATCGAACACATATATAGCCTATTATGTCAGCAATCCCAATCCTAAGTTCATACTGAACAGAAATGTATATGTGTAGGCATCTGAAAGACATGTACAAGAATGCTCATAGCAGCATTATATGTAATAACCCAAACTAGGAAAAACCCAAACATCTATCAGTAGAACAGATCCACTGTATTATATTCATAAAATGGAATACTATACAACAATGTAAAATAAACCACTGCTGTATCCAACATGTATTGGTCTTATAAACATAAAACTCAGCCAAAGAATCCAGATATAGAATTCTGTGATTCTATTTATATAAAGCTCAAAGAAAGATAAAGGTAATCTATGGTAGAGGTCGAAATAGTGGTTCCCTCTGCGGAGGGCACTGACTGCAAGAGGGACTGAGAAGGCTTTCTGAGATGTCTGCAACGTTCTACATCTTGACCCGTGACGGTTTTATGTGGATGTGTTTACTTTGTGAAATTCATTGAGCTATATATTTAATACTTGTGCCTTTTATTGCATGCATGATATTCCTCAGGCATCCTCACACCTGCATGCAATTTGGGGGAACACGTAAGGTGATAATAACCATGTGGTGGAAGATCTCTTTGGTAGCTGTGTGGAAGATCAGATGGTGAAAGAGGAAAGGTGACAAAGGCTTAAGCAAAGTATTAAGAGACCTGAAATAAGGCAGGTATGTGAGGAGGAAATGTGGTATCTAGAAGAAAGACGGGGGGATAGAGTCTATAGACCATGGCTCATTAGATGTGGCGTACGAGAGCGTGGAGTTGAGTTTCTAACATGAGTGACTGAGCACATGGAAATTCAGGTATAGGGACAGATGCTGTGTTGGTGCAGGGAGGGAAAGAAAGCATGTGAGCTGAGTCAACATGTTGCATTTGAGATGTTTATATGAGGGATACAGGTGGAGATGGTTAGGAAGTGAAATTAAGAAAACTGATTAATAAAACCCATTTTGAATTTACAGGGACCCTTGTGTAAAATTAAATCCCTCCCTGGGTGCAAGGACTTCATGAGGGCTAGGTTTCAAAAGCACCTCACCTCCAAGCCACAGTTTGAGACCTTGGAGAGATGGTTTATCTTTCTGACTTCTGAGTCAAGGAGAGAGGCAAAGCATGGGGAGCAAAAGGAACAGGAATGACCTGCACACCACCCGTCAGAAGGGCCTTGGCCAGCTGTCTCACTTCTCCAGCCTGCCTGGCCTTTTTCTGGGCCTCCTTACACCTGCACTAAATCTTTGTCATTTACTGGGAAGCCCTACTTTTATTCTTTTTCACAATATATTTGATTAGTTTCTATATTCAGTAACTCTTGCAGCTGAAATTGCTCATGGCTTATTTTATATTTACCTATTTTTTTCGTGGGATATTTCTGGAAAAAACTTTCTAGAATTTTGCTAAAAGACTAGAATCCCTCCCCTGCAAAAAGATAACCCTTAAGCAAGATATTCAATCACAGATTTAAAATAGTCTCATAAAAATTATTTCTAAAATGCACTGTGATCATTTAATATATGTCTACCAAAGGATGAGAGTAGAGAAATACAATAACTGTATTCTAAAGACTTATACATGTTCTACATACAGTATACACATCATGTGCATCCCTAAGAGCCAGAGAGGCCTACCATCACTACCTAGAAAATAGCTATGAGAAATTAGGGTCCTGTTCATTGCTTTACTCCTATGAAGGAAAATCATTTGTTTTCGTGTTTTGATAAGAAGTCTTATTATATTTCAACAGAATCTAAGTTGTAGTAGTATCTACATATGCTTGGAAATTCAAACACTTCTTTTTCTGTGAGATGCAATTACTATAATGAAATTTTAACATATAGTTCACAATAGAAATGTAAACCAGGCCTTTATTCGTGCATTTGTCAATCACTATTTGCTGTTTACAGTAGCAAATATTCAGCAACTCCAAAGAAAATCTGTTAGGCTTCCTAATATCCCCAAGCTTTAACTTTTGGTTGAGTTTACAAGCTTTAGCATGGGCTATGGCAAGAAAGAGAGCTGTGGATGTCTCGGGCTCCCTCCTTCTCTTCCTAACACATCAGCTTTTTATCCTGCCAGGATAATCAAACCCAAAGAGATGCTAGGAAACTCCATAAGGAAAATCATCTGCAAATACAGGACCCTCGGTTAACCAAAAGTAATCAATTCCTCAGAAAAAAAAAAAGTGTTCTCTAACAAATTATCAGATAGTGAGAACCCAATTTTACATTTTTAAAAAATAGGAAAAGTAAGAATACATTTCTAAGCCACGTTGATTGTATCTGTCAATCCACTGAACTGGGCACTTACAAGTTTTTCAAAGACATTCTGCTGCACCCAAGTAGCACAGCACAGCTTTTCAAACATACGATTATCTCATGTTTTATTTTCCTGTGCATAGAAAACATGTGCATGGTGGTAGGTACATGTGCATGGCCAAGCTTACGTCTTCTATGTGGTAATGACTTTCAATATGCTTTATCACTTCCAATTTTTCTTCTTCAGGAGGAAGGGCCGCTGGGGCTCACTTATTTGATTCCTGTTCTGTTCCATTCTTAGAAGGAATTGCCACTTAAAAATGTGGGGAAGACGACAAGCAAAAAAGGCACAGTATGTTTAAACAGCACAAACATGAGCTGTAACGCCATCAGGTGGAACATGAATGACTCACTGAGGTCAGTGCCCTGTCCTCTTCTAGGGACGTCCGGCAGCTTGAACATTTTCACTGGCTCAAACACGCCTTTTCCTTTTAGAGGCTTACAGTTTGGATAATAAATTCCAGGGAACAATTTTTACAAAACAGTAAAAACTATTTGGATGTGAGAGCTCAATTCGGTTGACATTATAGCAAAATAAAAAAAAGTTATTTTGGAATTATCTTCAGTCTTCATGAGATTGTGAGAAAAACTGCAAAGTGGCTATATAAATGGTGTTCTCCTGTGGAATTGTCTTTAAACTCATGAATCAGGCAATGTTTCATAGACTCCAGGACCTGACTATATTATTTTTTAAATATATAGCGTGAAAAGGATTTTCATTTGGCAGGCAAGTGAAAAGTAGAGATCCAGTGTCTATTCTGACGCGAAGTGGTTCTTCTCTGTAATCACACCGTTGAAGTGTTCAGAAAGGGTAAGATTCTTCTTTCCAGTTAATCATCATTTATTGACCAGTAGATTATTTTGCTTACACTAATATGCAACTGTTTTTTTAAATCCCAATATATTAATTAGTTCCTCCACTCAAAAACTTTAATCGAGTTATTTTTCAAAGATGTAAATGTACTATGTACTAAGTGAAATGTACTAACCATAAAGAAATTATATATTATTTTAAGTGAAATTAAAGGTATCTTAACAGAACACCCAGCGGTAGAATAGCATATCAACCTTGGTCTTACCCTTTAATTTCAAGGCTTCTAATACCTTTGAATCAGCTGTTACATCACTCACTAGCTTGATTTCAATATTTTGCGAAGTCAGCTGGAGCAACTTTTCAAAAAGACGTTGACCCTGGAAAAAATATTCAGAGACAAAGAAAGTCAGAAAACCTAAATGTTTACCAATTTAGACAGGTAAAAATAAACTCATTAAAATTAATCTATTCGTTCAAATGTTAAAAAGTCAAGCATTTCAACAACTGGTATTCAGATTTATGAAATTCTTTCAAAAGAGTTTATATCAATAGAGTAGTAGCATGAACACAGATTGCACTTTTTGGGGGGTATTGTGCAATTGAACAATTATTGCAATAAGAATTCCAATGCTACAATGCAAATCTACCCTTTTCTGCTTTTTGAATCTGTTATCTACACATGAAGAGGCAGCAAAGAAGATTAAGCAGTTGTGTTTTGGCCCAAAGAGACCTGGATTCCAGCTGGTTTTCCAATTTAAAAGCTGTTTCTTAATCTCACTAATCTCCAGTTTCTTCCTCTGCAAAATGCAGATAATATTTATATTTACTTCAAAAGGTTTTTGTGAGATTAAAGAAGTTAATAGTAAGCATTCTTTAAGAATTAGCTGTTAAGAGGGAAATTATGGTTACTAATCAGTGATTTACCTGAATTCATGTTGTTTAAATGTATTTTAATGAATTCAACTAATGTTCTGCCTAAAAATAAGTGAAATAAAAAACAAAATCAAAAATAAAAGTTTTTCAGCCAGGCATGGTGGTTCATGCCTCTAATCCCAGAACTTTGGGAGGCTGAGGCAGGTGGATCACTTGAGGCCAAGAGTCTGAGACCAGTCCAGCCTGGCCAACCTGGTGAAACTCTGTTTCTACTAAAAATAGAAAAATTAGCTGGGCATGGTGGTGCGCACTTTTATTCCCAGCTACTCAGGAGGCTGAGGCAGGAGAATTGCTTGAACCTGGGAGGCAGAGGTTACAGTGAACCAAGGTTGCACCAGAGCACTCCAGCCTGGGCGACAGAACAAGAATCCATCTCAACAAACAAATAAATAAAAGTTTTATCTATGGGAGTTTCAAAAGCATATAATTTTTAGAGTAAGTTTTAATCTCAGGCAGACTGAATAACAGTAGGTCCACAGTCATTGCATTATCTCAGGTCATCAGATTGCACCATTATCCTATTTATCATCCTTTGTATGTTTTAATAGACTCCCGTCTGTCTCCTTATCATAAAAGGAAAATGGTCTTCTTGTATTGATTTTTTAGATTTTTTGCTGTTGGTTCACAAACTCAAATGCCTTCAGGAGCTAAACAGAGAATAAGGCTTTGGTCTTAATGGCCCCACAGTGGCAAGGTCTTATCTTGCTCTGGTAAGAATGGACTGTGGATAATGATATGGAATGGGTTTGGTGACTTGGGAAGAGAGAATGGTAGAAATGTGGAGGCAGAGAGGTGATTCCTGCAATTCAGCCTTAGAAAAGAGAGAAGCTGGCCGGGTGCGTAGCCTCACACCTGTAATCCCAGCACTTTGGGGGACTGAGGCGGGCACAACACCTGAGGTCAGGAGTTTGAAACCAGCCTGGTCAACATGGGGAAACCCAGTCTCTACTAAAAATACAAAAATCAGCTGGGCATGGTGGTGGGTGCCTGTAATCCCAGCTACCCTGGAGGCTGAGGCAGGAGAATCACTGGAACCTGGGAGGTGGAGGTTACAGTGAGCTGAGATCACGCCACTGAACTCCAGCCTGGGCGACAGAGTGAGACTCCATCAAAAAATAAATAAATAAAAAAACAAAAAAAAAAGAGAGAGAAAAGAGAGAAAGGAAAGGAAATGGAAAGGGAAAAGGAAAAGGAAAGGGAAAGGGAAAGGGAGAAACTGAAGATCAAGACCCTGAAGCTTTAGGGTGTTAGGAGAAAGAAGCTGCCAGTGCTGAGGTCACAGCTGACAGCAGCAGGAGTATCTGGCACATCCAGCTGTGCTCTAGCCTGGAGCTGGCTGGCATAGCCATTGCTCCATAATCCCTGGGTGTTGGACAACAGAGTGGAAGTTGCACCATTGCACCTGTGCCATGCATGGAGGCTTCCTTTTAGTTTAAACAAGCGTAGAAATAAAAGTTGCTCAAAGTGGAGCTCATTGAAAGTGATTAAATTTCTCTGTACTCCAAAAGCCTGGAGGAAGCCTCACCACAAACCAGGTATTCTGGTATGGTATGTTGAGTGCATCAGACAGTTATTAACTCCTTATTTAAAAAAGAGGCAGAGGCCGAGCTTATCCTTGTAATCCCAGTGCTTTGGGAGGCCAAGGTGGAAGAATCACTTGACCCCAGGAGTTCGAGACCAGCCTGGGCAATATCAGGAGACCCTGTCTCTACAAAAAGTTAAAAAAAAAAAAAAAAGCCAGGCATGATGGTGCACGCCTGTAGTCCCTGCTACTCAGGAGGATGAGGTTGTGCTTGAGCCTGGGAGTCTAAGGATGCAGTGAGCCATGATTGTGCCACTGCACACCAGCCTGGGCAACACAGCTAGACCCCATCTCCAAAAATTAAAAAAAAAAAAAAAGAGGCAGGAGGGGAGAGGGAGGGTGAGAGAAAGAGACAGAGGCAACCAGAGAGACAGAGAAGGACAGGAAAGAAAAAAATGTGCTGATTTGCAGATTTTAGTGCCTTTGTAAATTTTAAATTTACTGTGTAGAGGTAGGAGCTTGGATGGTGAGAGGCTCAGGTACAGGATGTGAGGGAGAATCCACGTCAAGGGGCTTTATGGTTCTTCCACAGACAGAATTGACACCAATAATACCTCCTTTTCAGCTTTGGCACTCCTCCAAGGAGTCCATTCTACTCTTACTCCATTGAAGGTTTGGTGATGTGTGCATGGCCCAGATTTCCCGAACCTAAACTCGTGGTCATCTCACGTTCACGTAAGTTGTTTGTATTTTTCCCTTTCACACAAACAAACACTTCGTGTGTTCCGTAAGGCCCCATGGTCAGTGGGCCAGTATTTTTTGGCAAATTCATTTATTTTTTTAGTTAACAGAATATATTTGGCACCGATGAAACATTCAAGAGACCATCTAACTTATCTGTATTTCTGGCTCTGTGACTTAAATTGATTTCCACTGTGTTATTTTTGTGGGACTTAAAGACAACCAGAACTCTCACACATGAATGAAAATAGAAATTCCAAAATCTACAGATACTGGCAGACTGTCATTAAATAAAGCTTATTTTTACTTTTAGTATGTGCTGATTACTTACACCAAGGAATCCCACAATTTTTAATTATAGTGCTCACTGTAACGATCTTGGGCTTGGGTAGAGTTTCCATACTTAGGCTTGAGGTAGAATTTCTATTAAATCGTCTTCAGTGTGTTATCTCCCCATATGATAATTTTTGTTAAGACATTCAAAATGTAATCATTTCCAAAGGTATTAAACCCTACTCTGTGCAGAGATCTGCAGTAAGGCCTCCTAATGCTTTCTGAGTTACATTCACTCATTTTTTTTAATTTTAACTTTTGAGATGGAGTCTCGATCTGTCGCCCAGACTGGGGTGCAGTGATGTGATCTCGGCTCACTGCAACCTCTGCCTCCTGGGTTCAAGTGATTCTCCTGCCTCAGCTTCCCATGTAGCTGGCACTACAGGCACCTGCCACCATGATCGACTAATTTTTGTATTTTTAGTAGAGATAGGGTTTCACCATGTTGGCCAGGCTGGTCTTGAACTCCTAACTTGAGGTGATCCACCTCCCTCGGCCTCCCAAAGTTCTGGGATTATAGGCATGAGCCACTGTGCCCGACCTCACTCATCATTTTTTTAATAAGAAATAACAAAAGCCCCTTGGCTTTTAAACATCACCAATATAAAATCTTGCCCTTTCTAGTAAAGAACATTAGCCAACATTTCAGACTTAGATAAATTATCTCAAAGACTATCAGTGTCTCAGGAACGCTGACCTACTTTAGACCAATTTGTAAATGAAGTCTGTAAAAACCTCATGATGTACAGTAGAGTCGTATGCAGGAAGCTGTACCCCCAAAATAGAGATCCAGCTCAGCCCCTTTGTGACTTTGAAGAGGATGCTTAATGTAGGAGACCCTTCAATCCTGTAGGGGAGGAAATAAACCTGTTTCTCTACCCTCCTAGGTTCAATGGCTGGGCCCAGGAATCAAACTGATGAAAAACTATCAAGAGAGAACCAACAACATTTTAATTATGTACACACAAAGTTTTAATTACATGCATACAAGGGAATCCAGCAAAGAAACAAGACTCAAGGAGGTTGCCGGATGATTAAGGTTTATATACTATCTTTGGCTAAGCAAAGGAAAATGAGTTTGGGGCTTCCAGGTGGGGAAGGCAAGTTATAAGAAGGTGAGGAGAAGTATGGTAAGTAAGGTTTGTCCTGTTATACAGGTAAGAGCCTTTCAGGTGATGACAGCTGTCTCCAGGAGTCGCTCTCTTCCTGGTACGGAGCCATCATTTTTACGCAATTAGAGAAAGGTTAAAAAAAAACTCTTCCTGCACTGCCGGTTCTCAATTCCCCATAGGTCAAAATAATCCATATGCCAAAGGGGTCTATTTTGAGGTGGCATCTTCTGGTACCTTTCAATTCCAAAAGACTGGTGGGTCATAAATACTGCTTACTTCTGTTGACCCAAAACAACTGGGAGACAGGATGAAATGCCCAAACACAATGTGAAGGAAATAAGCAAAAACACCAAACAGAAACCCAAAGTCATGTTAGAGAAACTTAATTCTGAGGCTTATGTAGACTCTAGTGCTGGCTTTCAAGCTTGTTTTAGCAGTTGAACTCTTAGTGCAAATAAAAAGGTAAGCGAAACCTCTCCAATCCCTTCCTTTCCTCCCATACAGAATCCGCGGGGCTCCACAGAACACAGATGGAAAAACCACTGAATTTTACTCCACATCATAATGAGAACCTTCAGGATACTGAGATTTCCTACAAACTGAGAAGGCCGTAGCTGGAAGACCACTTAGATCAATAATCAGCCAATCTCTTCATCTTACAAACGAGGACACAGAGGTACAAGAAACTGAGTGACATGCTGATGACCACATGGCTTGCTAGTGGCAGTCAGGCCTAGAACATACATCTCTCTTCCTGATGCAACACAGTTCTCCCTGAATGATCATTTTGTTATGTTAAAGTCGGAAAAGGAAGGGGTATTCTTAAAGAAAGTTACTCCCCAGTCTCTCCCACTCTTTCCATTCCCAGCTACGGTCTAATAGACTCTCCCAAGCCAAGCAGTGCTGGGGCTGAGGGACACTCAATTACCAGCAGACTCAGGTTCTGGGGAGTCCAGAGGCCTGCAGAATAATTCTTAGCCCTATATGAGTGTTCCAGAGTTGCCTGTTCTTCAAAAGGTGGTGCAGGAGCCAAGGCCACCTCCCTAAACCCAAGGCTGGGTATATGAGGGGAGAGGCCTCCTTTGGTTGCCCCAGTGGGGAACTAGTAAACCATCCAATGCTATATCTCCAGTCTTTACCTTCCTTCACCTGAAGGATGGAAGCCACTAATAATCTGATAAAGTTAAATATCAACACATTTAAAGAGAACCAATTACAAGAAGGAAGATGCTTAACACAATGGGGACCTGGTGATACAGGCGATACAGGCTCCTGGAGAAGATGGAAGTTAGAACTAAAACACAATATGTGCACTGAAGGATGGCCAAGTGTGTCTGGTACTAATACTCGATGATTTTAGAACTAACTTAGAAGAGTAATTAAAGAACCATATGGCCATTGTTGAAGCCTGGATTAGTGGCCTGAATATCAAATGCAAGAAATATCTCAAAGTACACATGTGCATGTACACACACACACACACACACACAGAGAGAGAGAGAGAGAGAGAGAGAGAGAGAGAGAGAGAGAGAAACATAAGGGGAATCAGGGGAAAAGGCTGATATATAAATAGAGGAGATACAGCATGTGGCTCATAGGCATACAAAAAAGATTAGGTTTGCAAATAATACCAAAATAAAAAAAAAATGATCCAAGTTGAGGGAAGAACTAAATCTACAAGGTGAAAAGGTACCTGAAGGTGAAGGCAAATTTGAAAAAAACTTAGAGCTATATTCTGTAAAATTACTTAACATCGAGGAGAAAGAACAACCTCTCACCAAAACAATAGTTACCCATCAAGGAAAATGAATCAGATAGACTGGCAGAGATCTAACCAGCTGCAAGTACATGGTTGTATAGCCTATGGAAGACAAAGACTGAGGCCCAAGAATCCTTTACACACTCAAGAATGTTACCTGCCAGGGTGAAAGAAATATTTGCAGATATAAACAGACTTAGAGACTATCTTGCCTACTTAACCCATATGGGGAACATATTCATATTTAAAGAAAAACTGTAACCAAACAGTAAATAACACTGAACACCATCAAAGAAGATGAGGGGAGAAGAAATAAGTGAGGAACAATACGATATGTACATGTGTTTCATGCACTCAATGTGGGTTTTTGAAATGGAAGTCACACATTACAGGGGAAGGTCTACTGAGAATCAATTACACGCATTCTCAATGGGAGCGATATTGCCCCAAAGGGACTGAAATAGTGTTACTCTTTCGATGACTAACACACAGATATACATAGAACACATATGCAGTATATCTGTGATATTATAATATCATGGGAGGCAGTATTAAGAAAAAAATATATTAGAAGGCTCCTCAGGAAGATAATAATAAAAAACAGGTTGAGAAATGCTGATCTACAATCAACAGGATAAACAATCTCAGTAAAAGTTATACGAAAAATGGAGGTGAGCTTTAAGGTATTAGATGGGAAAAAGTGGGTCATTTTTATGAAATGACACAATTTATGGTGCTTTGAGAGCTGTAAACTGAGATGTACCAAAGAGCATGGCAACTAAATATATAAAGCAAAAATTAATAGAAATGCAATTAATACACTATCACAATGTAATACTTCAAAATATATTTCTCAAAATTGGGCAGATCTAATAGAAAACAAATGAGACTATATAAAAATTATATATTATCAATAAACTTGATTATATGTATACTTTTATATACTTCTCACTCTATATATCAAATCCCCTTAAAACAATTTTCGTTTGTGGAACATTTACAAAAATCTGTCTTGTAACTGCCATTAAGAAGCCTGAACAAAAGTTATAATGAGATATTCTATAGGCTTCATTCTCAGCTCACAATCTAAGGAAGTTAGCAACAAATCATTTACATGTTTTGTGAGTATAAAACAAATCTTATCTATTTGGAAATTTAAAACTCACTCTTAGATTGTCCTTATACCAAAGAAGAAAAGTAAATGTATGCCTTCTCTAGAAAGCTATGAATAGGTGGGTACCTCATAGCAAAACCATGAAAGGAGGCAATATCTGGTGTGGAAGGGAAATTTATAACCATAAATACCTTCAGTATTATTTTTAAAATACTATAAAATCATATTCATCATATTAACATGGTAGAGGCATAAGAATGTATAAATATAGAAGGGAACTTAATAGATAATCCAGAAATGGTATGCACAAGATTTTTTGTTTGTTTTTTTTTCTTTTTTAATTTTTAAGTTCTGGGATACATGTGCAGAACGTGCAGGTTTGTTACATAGGTATACATGTGCCATGGTGGTTTGCTGCACCTGTCAACCCATCATCTGGGTTTTAAGGCCGGCATGCATTAGGTATTTGTCCTAATGCTCTCCCTCCCCTTGCCCCCCATCCCCCAACAGGCCCTGGCATGTGATGTTCCCCTCCCTGTGTCCATGTGTTCTCATTGTTTGAATCCCACTTATGAATGAAAACATGTGGTGTTTTGTTTTCTGTTCCTGTGTTAGTTTGCTGAGAATGATGGCTTCTAGCTTCATCCATGTCCCTGCAAAGGACATGAACTCATTCTTTTTTATGGCTGCATAGTATTCCATGGTGTATATGTGCCATATTTTCTTTATCCAGTCTATCATTGATGGGCATTTGGGTTGGTTCCAAGTCTTTGCTATTGTAAATAGAGGCACAATATTTTTATCAATAAAAAGACGCTATTTTAATTCAGTTCGAAACAGTTAAAAAGGTTTAATCCGGCACATATGAAGGGACCTCTATATTATATTACAAATAAAAATGTGTTTCCAGTCAGAATTAGTACACACTAATACTTTCAAAAAAATCCAGGCAATGATGTGCACTGTCTTGGAATGGGGGAACCTTAATCAGGCTGTTAGCAGGCTAAAAAATGGCTCCCCAAAGATAGTGCATCTGAATCTCTGGAGCCTGTCAATGTTACCTTATTTGGAAATAGGGTCTTTGCAGACATTATTAAATTAAGGATCTTATGATGGGGGATTATCCTGGATTATCTGAGGATAATCCTAAATACAATCACAAGTGTACTTATAAGAGATGGGCAAAAGGGGATTTGACACAACTAGAGGAGAAGACACTGTGAAGATGGAGCAGGAAGAGAATGGAAGATGCTGGCCTTGAAGGCTGGAAGGTGCAGCAGCAAGCCAAGGAATGCCAGAAGCCACCAGGAGCTGGGAGAGCCGAGGAATGCTGGCAGGCTCTGGAGCCACTGGAGGGAGCATCACCCTCTGACACCTTGGTTTTGATCCGGGGAAACTGATTTCGGGCTTCCTACCTCCAGGTCTGTAAGAAAATAAATTTCTGTTTCTTAAACCAAAAAGTCCATGGCAATTTGTTACAGTAGCCACAGGAAATGAATATACAAGCCAGCTATATAAAAGTAATAAAAGAGAATACAGACATATAGAATTATAACATATTTAAATAAATTATACTGCAAAAGATACTACAAAGTTAATAAGAAAATCTGGAATAAATATTTGCTACACAAATGAGAGATGAAGGGATAATAGCTGTACTCTACAAAATGTGTTAAAAATTGGCTAGGTGCAGTGCTTACGCCTATAATCCCAGTGCTTTGGAAGGCCATGTGGGGGCGGAGGATCACTTGAGGCCAAGAGTTTGAGACCAGCCTGGACAACATAGTGAGGGTCTGTTTCTATCAAACAAAAATAATAAAAGTCCTAAAGCCCAGTAAAATGCAGGCAAAGTATGAGAACAGTCAATGACTAAGAAAAGCAAGCCTTGGCCAGGCGTGGTGGCTCACGCCTGTAATCCCAGCATTTTGGGAGGCCGAGGCGGGTGGATCACAAGGTCAGGAGATCGAGACCATCCTGGCTAACACGGTGAAACCCCATCTCTACTAAAAATACAAAAAATTAGCCAGGTGTGGTGGCGGGCGCCTGTAGTCCCAGCTACTCAGGAGGCTGAGGTAGGAGAATGGCGTGAACCCGGGAAGCGGGGGTTGCAGTGAGCTGAGATCGCGCCACTGCACTCCAGCCTGGGGGACAGAGCAAGACTCAGTCTCCAAAAAAAAAAGAAAAGCAAGCCTCTATGGCCAACAGACATAGGGAGATGCTTTTTGTAATCAAGGAAGCTCAAAGCAGCACAATAAAGAGACCTTTCTTTGTACTCAAAGAGACTGAAAAACATTTAAGAGTGTCAACACTTCCTCTCGTCAGAGATTTGGAGATTTGGGGAAATGATACTCTGACATATCGGCTTTCTTCCACCCAGGAATCCTACACCTAGAAATCTATCCCAGAGAAACATAAGCGCCCAATTGCAGAAGAGTTTATCTTGGATATACCATTATCCTACTTACACACATATATATATGTGTGTGTATACGTGCATATAAAGTTTAAGTGAAAATTAAAAAGGAAATATAACTGATTGAACATATTAAACATTTGATGCTATAGTCTTAAGAAAATAAGATTTAGGATTTAAGTCAAAGTGTTCTTTTGAAGCAATATACTAGCATTGATTTTTTTTTTAATTTATGACCTAAGAGGAAAGATCATATGATATATGAATATATATTCATATTCATATAGATATGAATCCCCTTTGGGCTTAATTCATTAGTTTAATCAATTAGTTAAATTTGCTATAAGATTGATATTTATTTACTTATATTACTTATATTTATTTACTTACTTATATCTTACTGAATTTTTAGTTTGTAGGATATACAAAGTTTGCCACAGATATAAGTATGAAGGTTATTTCCTTGTATATTTGTCAGTGTTAGCCTTTATTCTCAAATGACCTTGGATAAAGAGAAGTGACTTTTAGGCCAATTCATTCAAAGCATTTATTTACTGGTTGCTTCCTATGTGTCAGCGACCTGAAAGTACTAGTGATATTCAAGGAGAATATGTAGATGACAGATAAGCAAATACAGCCCAATATTCCAAATTCCAGGATGGAGGAAGACAGAGCAAGGGAAAAGCATAGCATGGCATCAATAATCCAGCATAAGGCCTCAGGGAAAGTTCCCCAAAGAAAGGTAGGGAAGAAAGAATGTTCCAGGTGGAGCCTATGGCAGAATCCAGAAAGCAGGCAGGAGACAGGAGAGATAAATGGGGTCACATGATGAAGGGCCTTGTAAGACGCATTGAAGAGTTTGGATCTCATCTGGAAGACAATGTGGACCCTCTGAAGCATTTAACCCAGTGAAGGACACAATCACGTTTTTGTTCTAAGAAAAGAACTCGGACTGCAAATTGGGGAATGATAGTTACAGGGGAGAACTGGAGACTGAAAGAGCAATGAGGTTGGTGAAATAGGGAAGTATCAATTGCAATGAAAAAAAACTGGAAAGAGCTGGGTGTGCTGGCTCATGCCTGTAATCACAACCACTTGGTCAGGCCAGGCAGGAGGATCACTTGAGGCTTGGAGCTGGAGACCAGCCTGAGCAATATAACCAGACACATTTCTAAAAATATTTAAAAACATCAGCTGGGCATGGTGGCACAGACCTATAGTTCTAGCTACTTGAGAGGCTGAGGCAGGATTGCTTGAACCCAGGAGGATAAAGCTGAAGGTGAGCTTATGATTGTGCCACTGCTGCCCAGCCTGGGCAACAAAGCAAGACCTTTTTCATATATTCATATATATATGAATATTTAAATATGTATTAATATTTACAATTATATATAAATTATATATACATATTGTATACATTTGTATATATACACAAATTATATATATATGAATATATATGAATATTTATAAATTGGAAAGAATCCAGGTATTGTTTATGAGATAACACAGTGATGAACCTGCTGATTAGGCTTGGAGCTTAAGAGAGAGAGGGGAATTGGAGTGGTGGCCAGAATATGCAAATAGTTCTAAGGATGTGCCAGGAGAAATATGGAATTCCTTATCCCAAACCCAGAAGATAGCGGCCGCTTCATCTCTTCACAGATGTCCCAATGGATCAATCAGAGCTTTAGGAGTTCAGTGCCACAGACCCAGCACCTTGATTGACAGTACTCATTTTTTGGCAATGAGCCACAAGGAATATCTGCTTGAAACCAGTGGAGAGTATCTGGCGTGGAGGCATGCAGGCTGCCTGTCCATTCATCATAACAGGCTCCACCTCATTAGAGGATTTAATGAGTCTGAACAGTTCATCATCAAGGCCTTGCTTAATGATGGTTATCTCAATGATGCACCCTGTGGGCATAAACATAGCCATCCCTGTCAGGGACAGATGAAGAGAGATGAATATGCTCATCATGCCAATCACGGGCCAGGAAATAGCAAGAGATTAATATCAGAAGCAGGAGGCTGGTAACCAGGCTCTCGGCGGCTGGAATCCTACAGTAGCTGAAAATTACCTGTGGGGTTGCTCGAGCGTCCACTCTGGCTGCAGAGGGGACAGACAACATTATCTTGGTACTGCCTTTCAGCAGTGTCTGGAAGAGCACAGCATCCACAGCCTGGCATCATTCCTTTGCTCCAGGGGAAAGAGGGGAGACCAAGGCAAGAAAGGAACACCAGAATGTGCCAAATATCCCCAATGCTTCCACAATCACTTATTCCAGGTGGGAAGAGGACCCCACGCAGAATGGACAGAGAATTCCTTCAAAACCTCACTGCAGTGAGATTCCAGCATCCTCAGGGAAAAGCCATGAGAACTTGCCACATGCTCCCTAAATATTCCATGGTCTTAACAAAGCAGCTCAGATACCCTATCCTTACATTTTGAGAATTGATCTTGAGCAAATGGACAGTAAGAAAAAAACGCACAGATATTTACTGCAGCAGCTCATTCAGAAAAAGGGGGAAAAGATAAATGCTTAAATGTCCAATAGAGGGAAATAGTTATATTAACTTAACCTGGTAAGTCTAATACATTGTATGTTATGCAGCCAATTAAAATATGTTTACCAGTGTTTCTAATAAAATGGAAAGATGCTTACGTTGTAATGTTAAGTTCAAAATTAAGATACAATTCTTTAGGCTGGGCACAGTGGCTCACACCTGTAATCCCAGCACTTTGGGAGGCCGACGCGGAAGGATCACTTAAGGCCGGGAGTTTGAGACCAGCCTGGCCAACACGGTGAAACCTCATCTCTACTGAAAATACAAAAATTAGCCAGGCGTGGTGGTGCACACCTGTACTCTCAGCTACTTGGCAGGCTGAAGCAGGAGAACTGCTTGCACCCGGGAGATGGAGGTTGCAGTGAGCTGAGATCACGCCACTGCACTCCAGCCTGGGTGACAGAGTGAGACCCTGTCTCAAAAACAAACAAACAAACAAAACATATAATTCTTTTTATATAATATGAGCCTATGTATACAAATTATGCATGAAATATCAAACTGTCAAAAACTTTTTTTGTTGGCGGCCATTTGGAGGATTTGGTTTCTCTCTCATTTCTCCATAGTTTCCAAATTTTTGATCGTGAGAGGTTCTTACTAATGACAAAGGAAAAAATCTGACCTATTCGAGTGAAAGTACCAAAAAAAATGGTCATAGAAAAATAGGAAAAACACAAATGAAGATACAGAGAAAAAATAAACCAGCATACAAGCAAGCAAACTCAGATAAGACAATCTTAAAGAAAGTAATTAATACGAACAATTAGAAGGCATATCTTAGGTTCATGATTTATTCATGGCCATATGATTGGATTTAAAAGGAATCATAGAGGTTAAACTCTTACTAATGATAATGCTTATGAGTTTATATTAGAATAATGATTTCCCATAGAAATATGTTGGAAAGCAAGCAAGAACATAATCAGGATTACTCAACAGATGGGGAAATGGCAGCATGAAGCAGCAGCAGGAACATACCAAGAAAAAACAGGACCAAAATCCACCGTGTGAGCTCTGCTGCACAGTTCAAAAGCAGAGGTAATCCTGCATGAGCCAATTTGCTGAGAGCACCCCTCAGTGTTGTTCTACTATGCTGTATCGTTATAAATGGTTTTATGTTTGTCTGTCTCCCTCACCACACTTTGAGCTCTATGGAGGTAGCGACCCTTGCTTATTTGATTTTCTATCCCCAGCAAATAGCACAGCACCTTGATAAATGTTTGTTCAATAAAGGCACATTTAACATCATTTTGTTGCCACATTTAAAATGGGAGGATGCTAATTAACAAATAAGCATTTGCTGAGTGTTGATTCTGTGGAGCAGGGAATAGATGTTACTTTGAAATAAAGGGGCACTCTTTCCGTGAGGTTATGCTGTCTTTATGCTGACACTGTACCAGGAGTTCTACTGATATCATATGCAGCCTGGAGATGAAAAGGCTGAAGGTAATCTACTGTTTCAAACCAAAAAGCAATCACTGAGCTCCATTTTGTTACTGGTGGTACGCTGGACAATAACACCAGCAGGATAAATACGATGTGGGTCCTAGAGTCCAGGGCTATGTGGAATATCCAAGTACAAGCTGCTACTCATTTACATCACTACTGAGGGAACAATTGCAATCACAGGATTAATTTGAAACACACAAAGTTAGGTTGACAAACTGGGGTAGGGACCAACCTGGCCCGATCTTGGAACCTATGAAAGTTGAACAATGTTTATTAGACCGGGATGGTTTAAAACAGTGATTCTCAATCCTGGGTGCCCAGTAAAATCCCCTCATCGTTTTTAGAAGTATTGAAGCCTGGGCCCCTCTCCAAATATTGTGACCTAACTAGTCTAGGATGGGCTTGGGCATAAGCGTATTTTAAAATCTCCCCAGGTGACTCTGACTGGCAGCCACAGTTGAAAACCACCATATTGGGAGAGAAAAGTGGGAGTCTACCTGAAAAATATGTGTATTTTTCTGTCTCTCATTTTTTTTTTTCGAGACCGAGTCTTGCTGTGTCACCAGGCTGTAGAGCAGTGGCACAATCTCAGCTCACTGCAACCTCTGCCTCCCGGGTTCAAGCGATTCCCCCGCCTCAGCCTCCTAAGTACCTGGGACTACAGGCGCCTGCCACCACACCCAGCTAATTTTTTGTATTTTAGTAGAAATGGGGTTTAACCATGTTGGCCAGGATGGTCTTGACCTACTGACCTCGTGATCCACCCGCCTCAGCCTCCCAAAGTGCTGGGATTACAGGCGTTGGCCACCACGCCCGGCATCTCCTTTCTTCACCTAAACCCTAGAGAGCAATTTGAATTGTATTCTGTGTAGAATTTTCTATCTTAACTTCTTTTCATATAAGTTGAAATCTTGACAGACAGCTGAATATTATTCTTTTTGTAAGATTACATAGAGAGTCGTGTCCACTAAATTTGAAAGTAAATGTCCTGCATCAAAACAACAAAAATGAAAACCACAGCTATCTTTTAAAAGCTCCATTCTTTATTGTTTTACAAATATTATCTAATTGAATTCACCAAGCAATCAAATGAGATAGGATTATTAAAATACCCATTTTATAGAGGGGTATAAATTTATAAATCAGAATTAATTTTAATTAATAGATGGGAACACTGAAGATCAGATGAGTTGTGACATTTGTTCAATGTGACCACAACTACTAAACTATTAGTCAATCAAATGTATAAATGACAAAGCCTATGATCTTTCCCCTGTAGTACATGGATCTGGAATAACACTGCGAATTTGCCTTTTCTATAAAACCAAGCGCTGAGAACTAAATATAAACAAAATACACAATTCTCACCTGAGCCAAATAACAACAGAGAATTTGTATGTATCCTAATTATGCTTTCATTAATTTATACGTGTTTTATTTTTCCCTATGTCCTCATTAAAAATAGACAAACTAGACGGTAGGAAGTTTGCATAATATAGTAGAAATATGTATAAGCCCTCAGGATCTACAACAAAACAAAAATGAAATGTGTGTTTTTATGTTGCATCAGAATATCCTGCTTTCCCTGACTGCTTTACCCAACCTGCCACTTACAATAGGCTCAAAGAATTTCAATTATTTAAAGGATCTAGTCTCCACCAACTATGCCAATCTTTTTCCAGGCAAAATGAAAACTAGGAAATGCTATGATGTTATTTTCTTGGGTTAAAAAAAATTGTTAAGAAATTTTAATTAAATATTCCATGTTCAGGCCACACGAGTATTAGATAGTTTTATCAGACTTTTACATGGGAGTGACGTTGTCAAAAACAGGATTCTTCTGGGTTTCAGGCATAGCCCTGTGTTACAAAGTAGATGCTGACTGTTTGCATGATAAATGAATAAAGAGTCTCCTTCAGAAGACTTGAGGGAATGGAGACTTGCCTAGGATTGTAGGGATGGGCAAGAAAGGACAAGTAGGCTTAGAGAGCCAGGGAAGATGGAGAATGGAAAAGATGACGGAGCCTGGGAACAAGAGATGCTGGAGGCAGGGGGCCATAGAGGACTCCACCAGGCTGCGGGCTTCCTTAGGACAGATAAGAGGCATTATGGGCCAAAACGTGCAGTGGTTTTAATAGAAAATGTTAATAATATCATTTACAAATGAATCGTAAGGATGGCTATGAAACAAACATGGCAAGGAAACGTTTTATAAGTTTGATGAAACAAAAGCCCTTGTCTGTTGGTCAAACTGCATTGATCGCATCAGTTAGGAAGAATATTGCAGAAAAGGAATGAGTGGGCTACCAGGTAGCGCCTGGAGACCTGAGTCACACATGGATACAGCTGCCTGAATCACAATGGCAGGGTCACATGAATGTTGCCAGGTCATATGGGTCTTCAATATAGAACAAAACGTCAATCAACAAAAATTAGGAGGGACTGTAGGTTCAAGAAGACCACATAATTTACTGTGTTTTCAAAATTCAAGATGTTATTTGTCCAGAGGGAGATATACACACACACACGTGCAAATATAGACTGTGGTTATATTTTCCATTAAATGATAGTGTTCTAAGATCAAATATTTCACAATCTTACCAGATAACTTTGCTAGATAGTGTTTGGTCATAAATTTCAGGACAAATGGAGAGGTAAAAAAAGGTATTCTTAAGCTTGTAGAATTCTTGAGAATGGGGCTGCTTTGGATGGTGAGGGGGTGAACAGTCCTTCTAGATGTTTTCCAAAGCTGAAGTGCCCCCTGCTTCTCCAAAGATAGAGCAGCTGCTTCTCAACGGGTGTGTCAACCAATAACTGCTTGAGTAGATGAGTGAGAGTAAGACTGTGGGTGTGTGCGCGCACACACACTTGAAGATTTATAATTAATAAATCAAATGAAAGTAAGAATTCCACATACAATGATAATTTGCCTAATACTTCTTATCTACCCAGAGTCTCACGTTTGCAGAAACTCTAATCCCCTTCTAATTGTACACAGTAACCATCCCAATTTCTAGCACAGTGTGAGAGCCATAATAAGAACTTGCTAACAGAATAAACTTGAACCAGAGGTACAGTGTGTACACAAATCAGTGAATGTGAATAACAATATTCACGATCATAACAAACCCTTATATAGGCACTAAAATGGTCAAACACTGTTCTATCCTCTTCACAGGTATTAACTGATTTAATCTGCACAACCACCTATGAGGCAGGTTCTGTTATCGCCCTGATTTTGCTATTGAGGAAACTGAGGCATACAGAGTTCATCCTCTTGCCCGAGGTTGCACAGCTAATAAGTAGGTCAAAAAACAAAACAAAACAAAAACCTCAGCTCCACTCCTGGCTCATTTCTGCAGTCTTGCTAAGATCTGCTAACCACTGTGTAGAGGTAGGATCCAGGCTCGTACTTCCCAAAAACAACCTCTTGGATCACCGAGCTCTTATGCTTGCTATTTCATAAATACTGTTTGATTTTAAAAAATCATAATTTCTCGAAATCAAACAATTCTGATGTATCATCAGTTGGCAATCACAGCTCACTGGTAGACCAGTATCTAATTGATTTCACATAAATACATCTCCTTAAGATTCCATTGTTGCAGCTCATTAATTATTTTATAGGTTCCTCACAGTGAATTCATAGAGTGTGAGATTTTTTTTTTTAACCCAGTGAATTAGGTAGCTCTACTAATGAGCCTCTGTCAGTTATATTTCCTGACTGTTTCTGAACAGGCTTGATTTCATAAATTCCCATCATTTTGTCTCATAAATTAGCAATCAAGATGTCCCAGGAATTTCAACATTTTAGGGTGGCAACTCATCATCCAGACAGAAACAAAAACCTTTTGCCCGACCATGTATTTTCATAAAATTCTAACATACAGTTATCATGAAACTCTAGACCTCAGCAGCCCTTAGCAGGCTGTGATACGGAGTAAGGGCACCGTCCAGTTTCCTTTAGCACAGAAGGAAACAAACACAAACAGATTAACACCAGGAAAGAGACAAGAAAAACAAAGTGGGTTTTTCAGGGTGGAAACCCAAACAGCAACCTTTTGGAGGTACAGATTAAAAACACATTTTAAATCAACATGTCTGTTTCCATGCAAATGAAAAATAAAAAAGCACATATTCATCATTCCTGTTAGTAACAACCATCACACTCACTCTTACAAAATTGCTACTCTTCCAGAGACCAGATCAATAAAATGTGTGCAAAATAAAAAAGCACATATTCATCATTCCTGTTAGTAGCAACCATCACACTCACTCTAACAAAATTGCTACTCTTCCAGAGACCAGACCAATAAAATGTGTGCGTCTGCTGCTGAGCTGTTCTGCCTACCACTGGCTACGTGGTTTCTTGGTATATTTTCTTATTGCTACATTATAAAAGACATCTGGGCTGCTTTTTGGTTATGGGCTGCTCTTTATGTATGTGCCATCTAAGGTTCCATTTAGGACTTTTCTGGCTCTGTTGGTTTAAAATTAAATGTCACATTTGACTATTGTCCCCCAACTAAAAAAATATTATCTTTAAAAAAATTAATGAAAAAGAAGCTGTGAACCTGACACATTTTTTTATCACACGTATCTGTGAAGGATAGTGTTTGGCACCAGAATATTTTAAAGAAAATTTAAATTTGTTCACTTGAGTAATCAGGGTGTGAACTATTTTTTCCTAGCATATTTTTGCACGCAATAAACCAATGAGAGACTATCTGCCAATATTTATAGGGTCTTGGTAAAGATAAAAGGGCACACACAAGTCCAAAGACTGCCTGCCCAAAGTTTGAAAGGTTTGGATAGTCTTGAATTTCCTTTTCCATTTGAAAGATAAAATCAGGTAAAAATTTAAATCAAAGTAGCTTTCAGTTAGTGCCTTTTTATAGGCAGTGAAGTTTTAGGGTAAAACTTGGTGATTTTTATCTGCAAAGAACAGGATATAGGGGTCCTTGAACTGCACCCAAAAAGAAGGAGTTGGCAGCAAGTACCTGTTTCCTTTCTCCATTCTTCATCACTTCACAATTATTCCCCTACCTGCCCAGTGAGAGGGGGAAAGGAGGGGAATAGACTCTAAAAATAATCTTTTTCTTTTTCCTTTTTTTTTTTTTTTTTTTTTTTTTTTTTTTATAGATACACAGAGTCTCACTCTGTCCCCCAGGCTGGAGTGCAGTGGCTCAATCTCAGCTCACTGCAGCCTCCGCCTCCCGGGTTCCAGCAATTGTTCTGTTTCAGCCTCCTGGGTAGCTGGGATTACAGGCATGTGCCACCACGCCCAGCTAATTTTGCATTTTTAGTACAGACGGGGTTTCACCATGTTTGCCAGGCTGGTTTCAAACTCCTGATCTCAGGTGATCTGCCCGCCTCGGCCTCCCAAAGTGCTGGTATTACAGGCCACCACGCCCAACTCTCTAAAATTAATCTTTAAGTGCCCAAGAAATGCGGTCTTCAGATAAGTTCCCCCAGACCTTTTAATGCTAACCTGTTGTGCATACCGCTCTAGGGGTTGAGAGAGGGGAATCGGGGCAAGGTGAGAGGGAGCCACTCAGGCAACAAAACACCCTAAATTCTGCATGCTTGCTCTTTAAGACCATAGTCCATGCCTGGCTTTTGGCCAGTGGAGACCAAAGGCTTGAGATTCTGCAGAAACAGTCACTTGGCCACCAACAAACTAGAAAAACTAGAAGAAGAGGAGAGAAATTCCACTACCTTGTTGAAGTGAGAACCCTCCGAACATCATTGCTTCCCCACAGGACATGGCCAGGGACAGACAGGTATGGCGAGAACTGCAAGATCAGCCTCACAGCACCTTTAATCCATTTAATTCCCAAAGCAGATAAAGCCCCTCTATCCTTCATGTTTGCAAAGGCAGATCTCCCCCTTGTAAAGAGGCAAAGCAAAATTAGGCTCAAAACTACAGAAAACCAGCTGGTTTTACATTGTACAGAAGTCTGTTGCTATTAGGGAGATGAGAGGCAGCTAAGAGGTGTCTCTTCGGCAGGAGCAGTATGACTCTACCAGAAGACATTATTCTAAACTAGGTCTCTTCCTAAAAGCTTGCCTGTGAGTTCAACGATAGTTAGGTCATAGGCAGTAAGTTGAAAAATTCCATTTGTTGGCAGCAGGCCAGTTGTTAGAGAGTGACTTGAACTAAGCTTCTAAGTGTTATCATCTTTCTACATCAATAACATCTAGCATCTACCTTTCTACATCAATAACATCTACCTAAAGTCATATGGGAGACCGTGGTGGGTGGATGACTTGAGGTCAGTTCAAGACCAGCCTGGCTAACATGGTGAAACCCCATCCCTACTAAAAATACAAAAATTAGCTTGGTGTGGTGGCAGGTGCCTGCAATCCCAGCTACTCAGGAGGCTGTGGCAGGAGAATCGCTTGAACCCGGGAAGTAGAGGTTGCAGTGAGCCAAGATCACACCACCACACTTTAGCCTCGGCAACAGAGCAAAACTCTGTCTCAAAAAAATTAATAAGTAAATAAATAAAGCCATGTGGGATTGGGTCATGGTGGAGGCTAGCCTCTACTCCTATCATTCAAGGCTGGAAGAAGAGTAGGAAATTTCCTTTGAAGCCTTGAGAAAGGGCCATCTGTATTATGCAATGGCAGAGTGCTTGCAATAGTACCACCTGCTATAAAATAGAACATGGAAAATACAACTAATGAACTTGTGAAGCTGGCTGAAATTCTTCAGGCAGATTACAAGTTTTTGAAGTACTTCTATAGTAACTATAGAAGTAAACTACAGTTTACAATAATCTATTCTCCATTTCAAAATAAGTAGAAGGGGGCCAGGCACAGTGGCTCACACCTATAATCCCAACACTTTGGGAGGCCAAGGCGGGTGGATCACTTGAGGTCAGGAATTCGAGACCAGCCTGGCCAGCATGGTGAAACCTCCTCTCTACTAAAAATATGAAAACTTAGCTGAGCATGGTGGTGTGAACCTGTAATCCCAGCTACTCGGGAGGCTGAGACAGGAGAATTGCTTGAACCCAGGAGGTGGAGGTTGCAGAGAGCCGAGGTCGCACCACTACACTCCAACCTGGGCAACACAGCGAGTCTCTGTCTCCAAAAATAAAATAAAATAAAATAAAAATATAAGTAGAAGGGAAGAATTTAAATGGCTCTGGCCTAAAGAAAAGACAAATTTTTGGCTTGCATGTTTCCAAATCAAGAGAAGCCCACATGAGAATCCTCACTCAGATCCAGACCTGATGCAAATAAAGAGACTCTGGATTTTGAGCTGAAGGAGTGAGGGATGTGCCATCTCAAAATATGTCAGGTTGGTATATTGGTGATTATTTCAAGTGGAAAACACGGGGAAAATTGTAGTTCAGTAAGGGATCGCTGACCTGTCTCTTCCTGTGGGCAGCAAACCATAAAGATTCTTCTGAGAAGCACATCCTCCCTGTACCAGGGTGAGAAAATAGCCCTTATCACCAGAGACGGGAAACTGGGGGCTGCCATGGACCTGAATAAACACACTTAATGAAGTGATCCTATCTCCCACTGGTTTTATACCCCTTCTATATCTCCTAGTGACTCCCCTAGAAATTGACTGCCCCCACACACATCCCCTTTGTCCTGTCATTTCTCCTCAAATTTATCATTCTTTGTCTAAAAAGTATAAAAACATCTTACTTTGGCCACTTCTTTGGACTTCGCTCTCTTGTGAAGATCCACATGTACGAGTAAAACTAATAAAATCTGTAGACTTTTCTCCTGCTAATCTGCCTGGTGTCAATTTCTAGATCTAGCCAAAGAGCCCACGTAAGAGCAAAAGGGGTATTGGAGGTGATCTCTGGCTTCCTTCCAGAGCCCTTGATGTAGTAGAATTCCCACTTTGAGGAATAAGGTGAATGTGTTTTGCATGTAAAAGAGAGATATGAATTGCTATGGCCAGAGAATGGGCTGTGGTATGTTATTTCCAAAGATGGCCACCAATAATCCTCATTCCTGTACTTGGATGTTGCTCCTCCCTTCCTGGACTTGAGACGTGCTTCTACCAGTGGAATAGATTGGGAGCAACATGCTAGGATTCCAGAGCTCTTTGCCTTCTGAGGATCCAACCACCATGTAAAGAGCTCAAGATGATTTACTGAATCATGACAGAACATGCAGAGAGACTCAGCCATCCCAGACGTTCCAGTCACCCCAGCTGAGATACCAGATATGTGAGGAAAGCCATCCAGGATTCTCCATCCCCAGGCAACCCACCCCAGCCAATACCATATGGATCAGAGATAAGTCCTCTCTGCCCAACCCTGCCCAGAATCATGAACAAATAGATACTATTTCTTTAAACCACTATATTTTAGGAGACATTATGGAATAATAAATCCTGAAACACTTACTTAAACTTTAGTAGAGATGGAAAAGTGTAGAACACAGTTAGTAAACTCATTCCATTCTTCTTTAGTTACGGCCTTCGTGTTTTTTGTTTTTTGTTTTTATTTTCCAGTAACTTTTGACTTTAAAATAGTATAATTGAATAGATTCAATAGCTTTCAAAGTACCAATGAGATCATGATTATAAGCTTAATACCACTACATTTTGCATAAAAGGAGACAAAACTTATTTTGCCCTTGACTTACATATGATATTTAAGTGTAGGCCAATGGCTATATATTTAGATAGGGTAGCTTAATGTAAACTATCATGGTTGTACCAATATAAAGAAAAACACTAAAATCACCAGCACCATTTTCTTACACCCAGAGCATTTTATTCAGAAATTGTTTAGATCATTAAGTCAGTTTTCTAAAGGTAGTTCTCCGAGCCTTATTTTTGAAAAGAGATAAGCATATTTCTTTTTCCCATTCATCCAAATACGACAGTCGAGAAAAACAACTATCCTGGGAAATTTCACTCTATTAAAAAAATGTGGCTGTGGGTGAATTATAACTTGAAAGGTGAATTATAACACAAATTAACCAAATAAATGCCTCAGCGAGCAGTTACAGAATTAGAACTGTAAACACGCTAGTTGGGCGAAGCAGAATTCTGGACCATGCCATTGACAGAGATTATCATGTAAATAGCACGCCCTGAAGTTGTACAACACAGCAATTCTGTATAAAGAGCCGACTGTAGGCAAAGATGAAACATAATTTTGTCCTTGCAAACCTGGCATTCTAGTAGGAGCTGAGTGACATATGATTAACAACGACACATCTACATAAATGTAATAATGTACATGTACTCTGGGTGTGTGTAGACTAAAATAAATGAGCTTGAGTTTGAGGAGTGGAGGAGCAGAATACTAAGGAGTGGAAAATGCACATAAGTAAAATCATCACACACACAGAGGATGTAGCTTACCTGACATGCTGATGGATGAGTGTGGTTGAGATCCCAATGGGAAGACACTATGTCAACAGACTTTTTGGCCATGTTGAGTAAATTCATCCAGCCTTGGAAAAGTGATAAGTGAAATGGTGCATTTTCTGAATAGTTAAGGCCTTCAGGAATATTTTCCACCAGGGCAATTCTTAGAAAAGATTTTGAAAAACAAACAAACAAAATCTAGTCAAATTTGAAGCCACAGATCTTTATATATGCATACAGCAGACATCTAAAAAATATTCTTTACTCATTCTGAATGCATTCTCTCCTCATAATTTACATATTTTTTCCACAAAAGTCTTCTTACATTTAACCTCTACTAACCTACTGTGTTCTGAGAGTTTATGCTCTATTTTTCCATAGTTAGCACTCACATTTCAGAAAATAACAGAGTATGTCTCTAATGTCCAGTTTCAATCTAGCCTGGAAAAAAAATTGTGAGCTTCCTACACAAGTACCTTCTTCTAGTAATATATTCCTTTATTTTTCCCTGGAAGCAATTCAATTCCTATATAAGATACTACTTTGCAAGCTATTTGAGACTATAAATTGAGTTTTGCCTATCTCCAGTTTCTAAAACAATGTGGGGCATACATTGGAACTCAATAAATGCAGTAATTATTGCTGAGCATCTACTGATGCTTCCTAGCCTATGGTGTAAAGTGACACTGAGAAGAAAATTATAAAACCTGCTTGTTGCAGGGCTTTACTAATATTAGAGCTAAGAAAAGGATAAAATTATAGTATTAATCAAGCCCTAAATAAACTGCAATTGGCAATATTCTAATAAGTTTGTTTTCTCTTTTTATACTTTTTATTATATTGACAATATATCTGTTGTATTGTCATACCTTTCCTTGGCTGCCTTTTTTTCACTTCTGAATTAGGTGACAGATAACTTCTGAACAAAGGAATGAGCTATTTTTTCCAGCTTTATTAAGCTTTATTTATTAATGTATATTCTCCCGCAATTCTTTTTTTGAGATGGAGTCTCGCTCTGTTGCCCAGGCTGGAGTGCAGTGGTGCGATCTTGGCTCACTGCATCCTCCGCCTCCCAGGTTCAAGCAGTTCTCCTGCCTCAGCCTCCCAAGTAGCTGAGATTACAGACACCTGCCACCATGCCTGGCTAACTTTTTTTTGTGTTTTTCATAGAGATGGGGTTTCACCATGTTGGACAGGCTGGTCTCGAACTCCTGACCTCTCATGATCCCCCCCTGCCTTGGCCTCCCAAAGTGCTAGGATTATAGGCATGAGCCACTGCACCCAGCCTCCTGCAATTCTTGATGGAAAACCTCAAGTCCTTATGAAAATACCTGTTAGGTGCTTCCAGAACACCGATTTGCATTGCTGTATGCACAGAGCCAGAGATATAATTAGGGCTCACAAAATACTTACAGAATAAATTTCAGCTTTCAACAAAGAATTCAGCACTTCTCAATAAAATACTTAATTGTTACTCTTACTGAGACATGTTGCATTTAGCCAGCTTTTGAAACAAAAACAATACTGCTAGTAAAATGTTCTGTATTTGATCAACCCAAAATATTATAACCAGAATGGGCTCTGGGTATGTGGCTCAGATAAATTTGCAGTTTTGGAGTCCAATCAGCCTATCATCACCCAAAAATTTATTTAAAATTTGTTGAGCCTTTATAAGCACAGGGCAGGCAAATCACTATGTGCAACACAGAAATGACTACCACAAATCTCCCTAGCCCTCAGAAACAGAATTTAGTGGAAAAGCCTATCTCATATGTACTGACTCAAATAGGAGGTAGACTCTAATAAATGGTGAAGCAAGGGTAAGAAGCTTAATCAGAGGGAAAACACATCACTTAAAGAATCACTGGAACATGCGCAGGAAGGAAAAATTCTGATTGGGGACATCTAGGAGGAAGCTGGGCTTGAAATTCGTCTTCAAAGATGAAAATTTTTTATGAGTGAGTTGGAAGAGAAAGATATTCTAGGAGGAGTTTGTAAAACATAGCATGTCTGTATATTTGTGAGTTAGTGAGCCAAGGGGAGCGTGAAGTAGGAAAGTTACGGTAGGAGCTTGTGATGGTGGAGAAAGCTGGCAGCATTTGTAGGGACCACAGTGCAGAGGCTGTGATCAAGGGAGAAGAGTTTGGACTTAATTTTGTCGCATTTGGGAGCAACCAAGTGTGTTTTAGGGAGCTAAGTCTGACAGCACACCTGTACGCCACTGGCATGGAGAAACGGGAAATAGAAGATAAGTCAGTAGAGAGTAAAGCGCTGCAATAGACCAGGGGAAAAAAAGAAGCTTGAATTTGGTCAGTGAGAATGAAAAGAAGCATGCAGTGGACATTTTCAAGGTCAAATCTTAAAAGTATGAGGGGCAGGTAAAGCAGAAACAATGAGGACACAGATTTTCTTGCAAAACCAACATATTGTCTCTTAATTGGGCTGTATAACCCCCTCCAGTGGTCTCCTCACATGGGTTCCTGCCCTTCTCCAAATCATTTTCCCTACTAGTGTTGGATTAATCTTTTAAAAATGTGAATCTGGACACTCTGCCTGCTGCCTAATGAAACTTCCTATGGACCTCCCCACTGTCTTTAGGATGATGCCCTTGACCCGCCCCCACATGATTGACAAGTGTTTACCAGCCTGGCCTGCCTCTCTGCAGCTTCACTGGATTCAAATGCCCTTTGTGAATTCCATACCACAGCCATATTTGTCATCTTTACTTCCTTCCCCACTATTCTTTCTGACTTTTGCATTTCACATGCATTGTCCTAATCCCAATTCCTACACTGGTTATTGAGCCATCTCCCAGTTAACCTTTAAAGTTCCAATCAAAACTTCACTTCTCCTGATTGGCTTCCTTATACCCCCAAACTAGGCTAGATCCCCTTAATATCAACTTCTGCAGTGACCTGCTCCTCCTCTTTCATCCTACACCTCACTCCTGAAATTACTTGATTAAGGCCTTCCTTGATGGATTATAGGATGTGTGAGGGCAGGATGTTTTGTTGGTCCGGAATTGTATGCCCAGTGCCTAACGTAACTATATACTATAGTATAATTGTGCACAGTGAGTGTCCAAAGAATGCATATTGGGTGTCGTTAAAATCTCAGCTGGGAGGTGGGGAGCTGGGATCCATTCAAACTGACAACGGGCCAGGTGCGGTGGCTCACACCTGTAATCCCAGCACTTTGGGAGGCCGAGGCGGGCGGATCATGAGGTCAGGAAATTGAGACCATCTTGGCTAACACGGTGAAACCCCGTCTCTACTAAAAATACAAAAAATTAGCCAGGCGTGGTGGTGGGCGCCTGTAGTCCCAGCTACTCGGGAGGCTGAGGCAGGAGAATGGCATGAACCCTGGGAGGTGGAGCTTGCAGTGAACCGAGATTGTACCACTGCACTCCAGCCTGGGTGACAGAGCGAGACTCTGTCTCAAAAACAAACAAACAAACAAAACAAAACCTGACAAAGAACAGGGGAAAGAATGTAAATTGGGGATTGGGAGAGTATCAAAGAAGAAAAGACCATGAGAAAACCAGTCCAAAGCCTAAAGTGAGGGAAATGCCTACTGACGGTTGAGTGAAACAGATGACAGGGTTCAGAAGAGAGACCTTTAGAGAAGCAGGAAGATGAGAGGGGTCCAGGAGAAGCAGCGTTCAGGAAGCCAAGGGGAGAGAGAGTTACAAGATGGAAAGGGGATTATTTGATGTACCTCGAGGCCTTCGAAGGCAATAGACAGAGGTTGAAGTTGGATATCTTAATTCTATCCACATTTAAAGCCCAATTATCTATGTTAATAGAAGCTAGACATAGCGCGGATAAATAATCCCAGATACTCAGTAGTTTCTGCCTCCCCTACAACCGATGGATATATTTAAAAAAACAATCCAATAAACAAACAAAAACATCCCTCCAACAAAACAATGCCAAAACACAACAGCTGCCACCAAATAAAGAACTAGCTAGTTTTAATTTTGCTTTGATATGATATAAAAGGTATATGGAGAAAGACAAGAGGAGACACAGGAAGCCCAGATAAACCAAACATATGAGGGGAGGAATATAGTATAATTGTACAATTACAGATGGCTCCATAACATCGCCTTCTTCGTACTGTCCCTATGGCTTCTCTTGGGCATACAAGTAAGTCACGATTCCCAATCTTTTTTGGAAATCCTTAGACCAGGTGTTCTTAAACTTGGATCTATGGGTAGAATTCAGGGGGATCTATGCACATGAATTCTACATCTTTATTTTCCCTAGTCACTAACTAAAATGTAAATTTCCCTTCAGTTATGAACATAGGCAACAAACCATAAGAACATTAATGAAACCTGCAATTTTGTCTCCACTAAAAATTTTCCTCCTGTGGTATGGTTATAGACAACATTTCCAAGTCCTTCTCACTACTTTGAAAGTGTGGTAGTGACCGGATCTTGTCATTTTGTGAATATGTACTGCAGGATACACATGAGCTTATTATAAATGTATTTCTAAAAATATTCTGCTCACTTTAACACTTTCAGTTTCCTTTGCAATCCTCTGTATTTTAAATCATGAATTTAAAAACATGATTCAGGGAATAATGCATAGGTTTCATCGACTGTCAAAGGGGTCCATGGCTAAAAAAGGGGTAAGAAGCCCTCATCAGATGGATAATGTTAACATCTCTTCCCTTTTCTTTGATTACAAACACATTCTTATAAGATTTTATTTTCCTTAGTGATTGACGCTTTAGAAGTGGGTAAGATGATCAAGAGAGATTTCTTTAAAAAAGAGAATAGAGTCAAAGCCAAATGTGGAAAACATCTAATCAATCCTGGTTGGTAGAGAAAGTGAAGCAAGAGAAGATGACAAAGAAGAAAGTACTGGAGATATTGGAGGAGGAGGAGAGTGAAATTCCCTGGGAGCCAAGGAAGACCGAGTTTATGACAGTAGTCTTCCTTACCCTTTCTACAGTTTCTACAGTTTCACTTTCTACAGTTTCAGTTACAGTCCAGCAAGGTCTGAAAATATTACATTCAATATGTTATTTTGGAGCGAGAGACCACGTTCACATAACTTTTATTATAGTATACTGTTATAAGCATTCTGTTTTATTGTTGTTAGTTTCTTACTGTACCTATTTTATAGATTAAACATTGTCACAGGTAGATATGAATAGGAAAAAATATAGTACCTTGTAGAGTTCCATAGTATCCAATGCTTCCCACGCCCACTGGGGGTCTTAGAACACATCCTCTGAGGATAAGTAGGGACTACTGTATTACCGTTATTTGGTTTTTACTAAATATCAATATAAACTATGAATTTATAGTAAAATAAAAATAGAGGCAGCACTCAAGGTCTGGAGACTACACTTTGTGCAGGTAATGAATTCCAGGGAAAAGCTTGGAAATAATGATCCTATTTACCTGCTCACTCTCCTCCTCTTTCTTTACCCAGACATGTTGATTGCTCCTTCTGGGACGCATGGCTGTTTCTTATGCTAGAAAAGGTCTCTAAAAACCAGCTTTGAAATGACTTATTTCTGTGACCTATAGTTTTATTTCTTTTAAAAACCAACAGCTGGCTACTCTCCAGAGGCCTGATCTAATTAGCATAGAAGCAGAACTCATTTACATGCCATCACAGCCCTGAGTATACTCATACTTCTCAAGGTAAGAAAGAAGTAGGCAGATCTCATTGAAATTCACCTTTGGGCAAATCCCTGGAATACCTATTTGCCATCCACAAGAGAACTCTACCTAGAGGCTGTATAGCACTATTTCTGACACCTGATAACTAGGGGAAAACTGGATATATAGGAATGCAATACAACAAAAATATTTTTATACTTCTTTTCTTGATAGTTTAAGGTAAACTGTGAGTCCAGGGAGCTTAGGTGGAATAAATACAAGAAAAAGCTTTTTACATTGTTAATAGAATTTTAAATAGAATTCGAACTGTTCTTATTAATAGCATGTATTTATTCTCCAAACTTAATGTGATCATCCAAATTTCACTTTCCATCCAGGAACAATATTGTACCTTCTCAAAGAACTATTTGTAGTTTCCCTTTAATAAGCTACTAAAAAATGAAGTCCATGTATTTGGCAGCTTTAAGTGCTGTGTGTGTATGTGTTTTGGTAAACAGAAGAATCTTTATAAAATATGATACCTTCATACTTGATTTTGGCATTATTGTAGAGAACAGTTTAAAAGGGTTTGTAATAAAGTAGACAAAACACAGCTCTGCCAGTTATGAGCTGTGTGACCTTCAACAAATTACTAACCTCTTTCAATCTGTTCCCACTTCTGAGCAGAAAAAAGGTTATTACAAAGATTAGAGGAGGGAATCTCAGTGACACGCTGTGCTCATTGCCTGCTTCCTAGTAAATGCTAAATGAAAGACATTTTTTAAAGTAACTTAGTCTGAAGACTTATAATTGAAAAAAATGTCTCCAAGTTTTCAAACTCATAAAGCACAGTTACTAAAATGCTTCTACATATACTGGCTAAAAGGAGCCTTAGAAACTGGTGCCTACACGACATTTTCAAAGTGACTGTGAGCTTTCTTTTGTTGCCTAATGCACTGGATCAGTTATCAGGACCTGACCTTAAAAAGGTGCATGGCAGTCAATGCACCGACATTCATTCTTTAGATCTTGATTTTCTGGTCACATTAATGAAGGGGAACAGATGATCTCGGCTCATCAATACAGTCAGGTTCACACTCAAAGTCAAGTGATGGGGTTTTTTTACCCTTACTGTGGTCATATGGCTAAAATTTTAATTATAGATTCAGGGGTACACACGCAGGTTTCTTGCATGGGTATACCTCATAATGCTGGGGTTCGGGCTTCTAGTGATCTCATCACCCAAACAGCGAACATACTACCCAACAGGTAGTTTATCAATCCGTCCCCCTCTTCTCCTCTCCTCCCTTTTGGGGTCTCCAGTGTCTATTATTTCCATCCGTATGTCCTTGCCTTGGATACCCATTGTTTAGCTCTCACGTGTAAGTGAGAACATGCAGTATTCAATTTTCTGTTTCTGAGTTATTTCACCTAGGATAATGGCCTCCAGCTGTATCCACATTGGTGCAAAGGACATGATTTCACTCTTTTTTATGGCTTTGTAGTATTGCATGGTGTATACATACCACATTTTCTTTATCCAGTGTACCACTGATAGATACTTAGGTTGATTCCATGACTTTGCTATTGTGAATAGTGGTGAGATAAACATACAAGTGCAAGTGTCCGTTTGATAAAATAACTTTTTCCCTTTGGGTAGATACCCAGTGATGGAATTGCTGGGTCAAATAGTAATTCTATTTTTAGTTTGCTGAGAAATTTCCATGCTGTTTTCTGTAGGGGTTGAACTACTCTACATTCCCACCAACAGCGTGTAAGCATTTCCTTTTCTCTACATCCATGCCAACTTCTGCTATTTTTTGACTTTTTAATAATAGCCATTCTGACTGGTGTGAAATGGTATCGCATTGTGGTTTTAGTTTGCGTTTCTCTGATAATTAGAAATGTATATTTTTATAAAATATGATACTTTCATACTTGATTTTGGCATTATGTAGAGAACAATTCAAAACGAAAGGGTTTGAACTAATGTAGACAAAACACAGCTCTGCCAGTTATGAGCTGTGTGACCTTCAACAGATTACTAACCTCTTTCAATCTGTTCCCGCTTCTGAGCAGAAAAAAGGTTATTACAAAGATTAACGGAGGGAATCTCAGTGACATGCTGTGCTCAATGCCTGCTTCATAGTAAACCCATGTTTACCATGATGTTGGGCATTTTTCTTATGTTGGTTGCTGATATGTCTCCTTTTGAAAAGTGTCTGTTCACGTACTTTGACCACTTTTTTCTTGTTGGTTTAAGTTCCTTATAAATTCTGGATATTAGTCCTTTGTCAAGGCATAATTTGCAAATATTTTCTCCCATTCTGTAGATTTCCTGTTTATGCTGCTGATTGTTTCTTTTGCTGGACAAAAGCTCTTTAGTTTAATTAATTGCCATTAGTCTATTTTTGGTTTTGTTACATTTGCTTTTGAGATCATATGGCTACAATTAAAAGCATAGGATCAACAAGACAAAGGCTAACCTTCCCAAAGAGATACTGGAATTTCTGACTTAGAAGGTGACTCGCTACCTATGTGGCAGATTCACTGACCACCTCTAGACATGGAAATAGTTGATACAGACCTAGGGACCTTGCTTTATTTCAGCTGAGATGTATATTTCACTTTTTCCCCAAGACTTTGGATCAGAGTGAATTTACTTGTGAAAAATAGCAGAAAGAATACCAGCAAGAGCTGGCTGGCTAACAGTATGCTGATTATTTTTTTTTTAGAGATGGGGTCTTGCTATGTTGTTCAGGCTGAAGTGCAGTAGCTATTCACAGGCATGATCATAGCACACTGCAGCCTCAAATTTCTTGGCTCAAGTGACCTTCCTGCCTTACAGCCTCCTGAGTAGCTGGGACTACAGGTGTACGCCACTAGGCCCAGCTAATTATTTATTTATTTACTGTTGTAGAGATGAAATCTCACTATGTTGCCCAGGCTAGTCTTGTGCACCTGGCATCAAGCAATCCTTCCAAAGTGCTGGGATTACAGGCACACACTACTCTGCTCTGACCATTCTATTATTTGTTAGTTGGCATTCTTCCACAAAGAAAAACTTCCCCCTGGCTGGGCATGGTGGCTCATGCCTGTAATCTCAGCACTTTGGGAGGCCAAGGCAAGCAGATCATGAGGTCAAGAGATCGAGACCATCCTGGCCAACATGGTGAAAACCCATCTCTACTAAAAATACAAAAATTAGCTGGGCATGGTGGCATGTGCCTGTAGTCCCAGCTATTCAGGAGGCTGAGGCAGGAAAATTGCTTGAACTCTGAAGGCCGAGGTTGCAGTGAGCCAAGAGCGTGACACTGCACTCCAGCCCGGGTGACAGAGTGAGACTCCTTCTCAAAAAAAAAAAAAAAAAAAAAAAGGAAAGCTTCCCCCCTTTTCCTATCACCCTTCAAGACTTTTTTTTTTTTTTTTTTTTTAAGGCAGGGTCTTGCTCTGTCATCCAGGCTAGAGAACAGAGTGATCAGTGGCTCACTGCAGCCTTGAACTCCTGGGTTCAAGTGATCCTTCTGCCTTAGTACCCCTGAGTAGCTGGGAGTACAGGCATGCACCATCACATCCAGCTAACCATCACTTTTATATTAAAAAATGTTTAATTAGTATGGATTCATGTTTCTTTTTTTTTTTTTTTTTTTTTTTTTTTTTGAGATGGAGTCTCGCTCTGTCGCCCAGGCCGGACTGCGGACTGCAGTGGCGCAATCTCGGCTCACTGCAAGCTCCGCCTCCCGGGTTCACGCCATTCTCCTGCCTCAGCCTCCCGAGTAGCTGGGACTACAGGCGCCCGCCACCGCGCCCGGCTAATTTTTTGTATTTTTAGTAGAGACGGGGTTTCACCTTGTTAGCCAGGATGGTCTCGATCTCCTGACCTCATGATCCACCCGCCTCGGCCTCCCAAAGTGCTGGGATTACAGGCGTGAGCCACCGCGCCCGGCCCGGATTCATGTTTCTTAATTCAAAGTTTTATAACCGATTACTGTCATCATTCATTATTCAAATTGTTGCATATATTGCCAATGGGAGCCCCTGTAAGTTGTATTCTGTGTCCTTTTGATGTATTTCTTTCCATTTTTAATACTTTATTTTTTGTCACCAGATGTTTCCTTTTTATTAGCTTTTAAATTGATTGTCAAAGACAATTAGCTGCAGAGGACATGATAGTGAGTTTGAGTTGGTGGTAGCAGATTGCTGTTTCTATAATTCTAGATGATTCAGGCAGATGAACGCCTCATTATTTCCAGGTCTATAATTGTATATGTGAAGAACAACTATGGTTTGTTTTCGGAGCGAGACAGTATGGCAGTGGAGGAAGTATAATGGTAGCTATTATTTGTTGCTTACAGTTTTAAAAGTACTTCTGCAGATATTATTACATAGCATCGTCAACAACAACCCTGCAAGATAGGGAGGATCTTAGTTTGAGAGATGAAGAGAGCAGGGCTCCCAGCGGCCAGGGGTCATCTAGCTAGAGAGAATGCCACTGAGCTGGGATTTTAATTCAGGTTTTTGTCTGAGCTTGTGTGTTTGACAAAGCTAGATTTGGCCTTTGTCTTATCTTAGAGGGTATGCTACAAGCACACTTTGGGTCGACAGAGGAACTAAGCAGAGTGATTTTGAAAGCAGAGGCTACTGTCTTAGAGGGGAAGATCAGCTTGGACTGAGATGCTTATCCTGTCTGGAGAAGGGGGGAAGGTGCAAGTGGCAGCTCTCTTACCTTATTCTAGCAAGGAGCCCCCTCCTTATTCTATAAGCCACTCTGCCAATCTTACTGACCAGGAAAACTGTGGTGACAGAAGGGCACACTTTTAACTGGCTTAATATTTCTAACTACTGACCCAGAAAGGAACAATCAGAAAGAAACTTGAGGAGGATGAAGACAAAAGAGGAAAACGGTGGAACGTAATGCACCTACCTGTTGATATTTCACTAATATAAGATGTGGCAAAGGAGCAGGGACCTCATTAATAGAAAGATCTTGACACTGTCCCCAAAGAGCTAACACAGTAGAAAGACAGGTGATTGGAAAAAAAAAAAAGTGGTTACAACTTATAAGGCAGTTACTACCCTCCAACAGCTAGCAAAATGTAATTATATTATTACCTCTATTACATTAAAAAATTTTTTTTAATATTTTAATTTTTTAAATTTTTGTAGGTAGATAGGAGTATCCATTTATGTGGTATATGAGATGTATTGATACAGGCATGCGATGTGAAATGAGCACATCATGGAGAATGGAGCATCCATGCCCTCAAGCATTTATCCTTTGAGTTACAAATAATGCAGTTACACTCTTTAAGTAATTATAAAATATACAATTAAGCTATTATTAACTATAGTCACCCTGTTGTGCTATCAAATAGATCTTATTCATTCTATTTTTTGTAGCCATTATACTCCTATTACTTCCAATGAGCATTTATTGAGGATAAGAAACTGAGACACAAGGAACTTAAGTAACTTGCCCAGGGGCACACAGCTAGTGAGTGATGAAGCCCAGATTTAAGCCCAGCAATATGACTGTAGAGTGTATCGTCTTAATCACAACACTCCATTGCCTCTTCCAAGTTTCAAAACAAAATATCCAGGCAGAGGGACCAAATTCTGGGTGTTTTTCCCCCCAAGTCATGAATGTCCTGGGGCATGAGGTCCATGACAGTGAATTCCAGATTCGCTAGCAGAGTTGCTTTCTGTTAGGACGTATTCTCTCACTGCCAGGTTATGTTTGATTGTTTTTGTTTTTTACAAAAGACATAATCATTACTTCAACTGTATTCTCTGCATTAAAATTCAGGACATAATCTGTCTGATGATTTTGGGGTCATGTATTTATACCCTGTAAATTGATATTTATGGAATGCCAAATCCATGATGAGCTCTCCAAGTGCTGAAAGGCACCCAGGCAAAACCCCTGTTTTCATGGGGCTTATTTGCCCTGGGGGAGGAAACAACGAATACATAAGTAAACACACAGATAAAAAGATGGCAGGTGTGAGAAGTAAGTAGGATGAAATGACAGACATTAAGGAAAAGGTTGCTTCTTTAGAATGCCAGCCAGGAAAGCCCCTGCTGAAGCTGTAACATTGAGATGAGATGCAAAGAATTTGTGAGCAGAGTGCTCAGAACAGAAAGGAACATCAACCAAGAAGATATCAGCCAGGCATAGTGGCTCACTCCTATAATCCCAGCACTTTGGGAGGCCAAGGCGGGTGGATCACCTGAGGTCAGGAGTTTGAAACCAGCCTGGTCAACATGGTGAAACCCTGTCTCTACTGAAAATACAAAAAAAAAATTAGCTGGGCATGGTTGCGGGCACCAGTAATCCCAGCTACTTAGGAGGCTGAGACAGAAGAATCATTTGAACCTGGGAGGCAGAGGTTACAGTGAGCCGAGATCATACCATTGCACTCCAGCCTGGGGTGGGGTGGCGGGAGAGGAGGAGGAGGAAGAAGAAAGAAAGAAAGAAAGAAAGAAAGAAGAAGAAATCAAGGCAGAAATGAGGTTGGAGTGTTGGAAGAACATCAGGGAGGCCAATGTGGTTAAATCTAGGGAGTGAGGTGGGGCAGAGTTGGGGGGACGGCAAAGGGGTTGGTGAAGAGTTAAATTACACAGGGCTATTGGACACGGTGTGAGGTTGTGGTTTATACTGTGTGATGAAAAGACACAGTGGATTGGACAGGGGTGGAACATGATCTGATTTACCCTCCACGAGGATGACCCCTGATGTTTGTCAGAAATGGGTTGCAGCGGGACAAGGGTTGCAGCGGGAGAACAATTAGAAGACCGCTGCGATAGCATGGAGCCTCGGCGAAGGGCGGTGGCAGCTTGAACCACCGTGTGAATGCTGGGGATGGGGAAAAGTGGAGAGATATGGAATACATTTTTAAGGTAAGGCAGATAGAAATATGGGCACCCTTGAGGGAAATTCATCTGCCCCATTCCTAATGCCGTCTTCCAGGTTCAAGGATGCTTGTGTGATGTCACGCGAGCTTGCCTTTCATCTTTCTCCAAACCTTTACTCACACTGCCCTAGGAGGAGGAATGAATGAGCTGATTGTGAGACTGAGGAAGAGTTATCAGCTTGGTCCCTTGCTTCTTCTTGGGAGACCTATCCCACCCTCAACACCCATGCCTCAAGTCTTGCCTGGACAAGCCCCTTCATGTCCAGATGTGCCCTAGTCTAGCACTGGCTGTGCCTGGGTGATAAGCCTACCTAGTTCTGGGGTTCAGTGAGGAAGATGTTTGGATCTCACATTAAGCTACATCTTCCAATTTAGCCTTTGTCATTAAGGCGATCATTTGGCCTGCATCTGCTACTCCTTGTCAGAATTGTCAATCTGTTCAGGAAGAAGGATGGCTTTGAAGGGGAGCAGAATATGCCACCTGAAAATATGCCACTTTGGCAAAAGGATTATTTTGAGCTGAAGGCAATAGAGAAGAAAACACAGGGAAATATCTCTGTCTCCCCCATTTGCCTAAAAGCAGGACATGAGTTTACAAAAGTGTCTTCCTCCCCTCTCTACCAGGAAGGACAATGTTCAACACCAGAGACAACTTTAGACCCTTATCAGCCTGGAGACCAACCCCAGAGGAATCTACATAACAACCTTAATTAACTAGCGTTTATCTGTCATTAGTTTCTTATATAGTCACGCATTTTGGTTAACGGATCACATATATGATGATGGTCCCATAAGACTGCAACAGTTGTAACACTGTGTTTTTACAGACCCTTCCGTAGGTTTATTTTTATTTTTTAAAACATTATTATTATTATTATTATTATTATTAGAGACAGAATCTTGGCTCTTGCCACCCAGGCTGGAGTGCAATGGTGAGATCTTGGCTCACTGCAACCTCCACCTCCCGGGTTCAAGCAACTCACCTGCTTCAGCCTCCCGAGTAGCTGGGATTACTAGGGCCTGCCACCACACCCGGCTAATTATTTTTGTATTTGTAGTAGAGACAGGGTTTCACCATGCTGGCCAGGCTGGTCTCAAACTCTTGACCTCAGGTGATCCGCCCACCTTGGTCTCCCAAAGTGCTGGGATTACAGGCGTAAGCCACTGCACCCAGCCAACAGTACCTTCCCTAGGTTTAGATACATTTGGGTACACAAATACTTACCATTGTGTTAAAATTGCCTGTAGTATTCAGGACAGTAACATGCTGTGCAGGTTCGTAGCCCAGGAGCAACAGTCTCTATCATATAGCCTAGGTGTGTAGTAGGCTATGCTAATGATGCATTTGTCAGAACAGATACCCATTATTAAGTGATGTATGACTGCATTTGCGTTCCCATGATTGGTTGCCTCTACAGACTCTAGGTCTTTTTCCTTTGTCTCGTCACCTCTCCAAAAATGTATTGTTATTTACTGAAGATGCTATGTAAGCCAGAGTTAGAAGTCACCTTTTTGAGAATTGCTCATTCTCAGCTGGGCATGGTGGCTCACACCTGTAATCCAAGCATTTTTGGAGGCTGAGGCAAGAGGACTGCTTGAGGCCAGGAGAGTAAGACCAGCCTGGTCAACACAGCAAGACCTGTCTCTACCAAAAAACTTTAAACATTAGCCAGGTATGGTAGCATGTGCCTGTAGTCCTAACTACTCAGGAGGCTGAGGCAGGAGGATTGCTTGAACCCAGGAATTTGAGGTTACAGTGAACTATGATCGTGCCACTGCACTCTAGCCTGGGCAACAGAGCAAGACTCTGCCTGTAAAAAATTTTTTTAAATTAAACTTCAAAAATGAGAGAGATTTGCTCATTCTCTGGGTATCTCCCAAATACATATGAAATGTACATGTAAGCTTCTGTTTGTTTTTTCTTCTTCTTAATCTGCCTTTTGGAGCAGGTGATCTCAGCCCAGAATTTAGAAGGGTAAAGGGAAATTTTTACCCCCTTACACTATTTATTAAGCCATCTCAGAGACCCCAAAAGTAGAGTCTGGACATGGGTTGGGATTCTTATATATGAAATTCTCCTGGATATTTTGATGGAGTAGGGGACCGAATATCAGAATCTGTGATGAACTCAGCGCCTTAGACCGCTCGGCCATCCTGACACACCAGAATCTGTGATGAACAATTGCAATGGACAACATAAGTTTCAGAAAATGATCATGAGGGAGGCATTGTTCATTAGCTCAAGAATTCCAGTTCTCTTCCTGAGTTGATAGAAAAGTTATAGCCAAAATAGCAAATACATGCTGACTCTCCTGACTCACACGCCCAATGCTGGCAATGATAGTCAATCACACTGTTCTTTCCTGAGCCTGCCCTTGGCCTCGCCGTCTCTCTCAGCCCATTGCTTCAAGCAGCTACTAACAATTGAGACTGCCCACAAGATGAAATTGAAGTTACAACTTGGAGGCAAACTAGGAAATGGAGCTCATTACATTTTCTAATTAAGCCAGACTTATCTAGAGAATCATTTTTATTTCAACCCACATTAAAAGTATTTCTAAAATGTATAAATGCTATTTTCTAAAACTGAAATTATGACATCCGAGTTTGCCTTAGGGCCTCCGAACTGTACTTGGTAGAAGACACAGGAGGTTGGTCCATCTGTAGGTTCAGGATTTATCCTTGGATTTATTTATTTTAAAATAAATGCTTGACTCAAGCACATTTTTGGATTCAAGTTGCCTCTTCAAATTAAAGCACAGTGACATTCTTAGGAACTGAGGACTTATCATCAATTATTGCTAGTATTTGTTTCCAAACGAAGAGCCAGGAAAAAGATAGTAGAGCAGACTCAAGTCCTTGACACCAGATCTTACCCAGTAACTACAAAGCAATTAAACTCTGCTCTATCATTGTTCAAGGATGATGTCAAGTGCTTTTCCACGAGAGGGCGATTATATGTGATTTTTCCCTTTCCTCTAGTGTCTTGAATCTCAGTAATTTTCATAAGTTGAGGCTGCATTAATAAATCCCATTATTTGCAAATTCTTTTTTGCCCACCATGGGCTCTGTCAAATTGACATGTACCCCACCGACACCAGCTAAATGAGAAGCTGACTGATGGCTACTTTCAAGTCTGATGCTTATCTGGGGTAAATTTTCTGTGCCTCAATAAGACTCCTCAAAACCTTGCAAGAAACCAGATCTGGGAAAGATTCCTCAAAGGAATAGCATAACTTCTTGCTTAGAAAAGTTGTATACCATTAAAGCTGCCATTACCTCCAGAACCAAAAAATGATGTTCAAAAGCATAAGTGTCAACTATGTGGCCCAGCTGGGTGCAAGGACTGTAAATCATAAGTTTTCTCGTGAGTGCACATAACGGGCCCTCTTCACTGCAGATTGGCCACACAGCACAGAAGACAATTTTGGCTGCTATATTTCAAGTCCACCAAGGGCGATCAGCATCATCTGGCCAAATATGTGCTGTTTCCAGAGGTTTAAAATAGTTTTTCTAAATGTATCTTTTCACAGTCTGAATATGGCTTAAGTTTCTTCCGAGTTGACACATTGAAGGGGATGAGACAATTCTGTAATGAGTGAAACTTGCTAGATAATGATATAAGTTCTGCAAGTTGATTCACTTTCAGACCCCCAAAAGTAGCACGTAAGCCTATGCAGGAATATTTCCCTAATGCAATAAATTAGTTTCTATAAGAAACATTCTATGTACACAGAATTTTAATTAACAAATCTAAATTTGAATATGTCAAAGTTTTAAAATCCGGTATTTTTTCATTTTATTATTTTCTTGATATAAAACTTCAGGAAAAACTTCAAATGGTTTTGGCAGAACAGATTTCTTCATTGAATGTTTCTATAAAACAAATAACAGTTTTTGGTAATGAAAATAATTGTGAGCTGGATTGGTGGCTCATACCTGTTATCCCATCATGTTGGGAGGCAGAAGTGGGCAGATCGCTTGTGCCCAGCAGTTCAAGACCAGCCTGGGCAACATGGTGAAACCCTGTCTCTACAAAAAATACAAAAACATTAGCTGGGCATGGTGGAGCATACCTGTAGTCCCAGCTACCCCGGAGGCAGAGGTAGGAGGATCATTTGAACTCGGGAGGCAGAGGTTGCAGTGAGCTGGGATCACACAACTATACCCCAGCCTAGGCAACAGAGGGAGACCCTTTCTCAAAAAATAAAATAAAATAATTGTGACTTAAATCTATTCACGCACTTTTAAGATTCCAGCAAACTTCTTCATATTTTTAGAAATCATTACATGCATAGGTTAAGAAACTTCAAAAAGTACAGATGATCCCCAGTGTAAAGTAATCCCACTCCTGATTGCTGTGTGTTCCAGCGTCCTGCCCCAGGGTCACCAACTGGTACCAGATGCTATTTTCTGCAACTGTAGTTATTGTTATTTCCTGTACACACATTCCTTTGTAGCTAATCTATTTTCTATTTAAATATTTCCTGTACACACATTCCTTAACTTTCTATGTTTGAATCTCTCAAAACATGCAGGATAATTTACTAAGATACATATTTCCTTCATTTCTTCATCTGAAAGAAGACAGGACCTCAAGACAGTTTTCATCCAGGGCTAAAAGCGGAGACTGTGCACAAGCCACTTCCATTTCTTATTTTTTTTTCTTTTTTGAGACGGAGTCTTGCTCTGTCACCCAGGCTGGAGTGCAGTGCAGTGCTCATGGCTCACTGCAACCTCCATCTCCATGGTTCAAGCGATTCTTCTGCCTCAGCCTCCTGTAGCCTACTTGGACTACAGGTGCGTGCCACCATGCCCAGCTAATATTTGTATTTTTAGTAGAGATATGGTTTCACCATGTTGGCCAGGATGGTCTCGATCTCTTGATCTCATGACCCGCCCGCCTCGGCCTTCCAAAGTGCACTTCCATTTCTATATAGTATTTTGTCTTCCCAAATCCTGAGCTGTTGAAGAGATGACACAGGGTGTCTGGAGAGGAATGCCTTGGAGATGCACCAAGGTAGAGAGGAGAAGGTCCTCACAACTGGAAAGGGGGGGAAGTCCATGGGTCTTGCAAGGACCAAAGGACCCGCCACCTGGACCCAGGCAGACTCTCAGAGGTCAAATGTTGTGTGTACCCACAAAGGCTGGACTCTAGGCCCTGGGGCTCCAGCTTTGCCAGTCCCCAAAACTGAAGGGACATGAGGCTGTGCTGATGGGTTCTACTGACAACTAGCTGGGACAAACACATATAACCAGAGGGGTCCTCAGCTGCTGGGAAAGACTCCAGGATCTTGTACAACCTTGGTCAGTCAGGGCTGAGACTGAATTCCTGCCAGTCATCAGCTTGGCAGGTAGTAAAGATTTGGAATGGAGTATCTTTTAAATCTGAGTTGCTGGGCTGAGATTCACACCCACCACACACACATAGTACTTGATCTTCTTAGGATGGGTCATATGGTTACTGTGATCCTGAACCTCCCCTTCCATGCTCCAGCCTACTAAGCTTATGATCAAGGAATTCCCTGTGGATTACACGGATATCCCTTGACTGAAAACGGCTCATGCTGGCAGGGATGAGAGATCAAGTTGTGAAACTGTTCTGGAAGCAAGAAATGGTGGTCTCTAACCAGTGATATATATATTTTTAACATAATCTAAGCTTGTCTGCCTGCACAAAGAAGCATTTGCTAAGATAAAAAGGAAAGAACATACAAAATTAAAATTTGCCATTTATCCAGAAATGAACCAACTCGCCCACCATGTAACAAACAGAAAACTGCACTCATATTACCAAGGAATGCTACACTGAGAAAGAGAATAAGAATTTATTAAAACACACACACACACACACACACACACACACACACACACACACACACACACACCCCACTTACGCAAACAAACTCTTTGTAGGTACAGGTGCTAAAAACAGAAAACCCATATAAAGCTAAACCCATTCCATGAAACACATATGATATCACATATTTATCATTAATTTTTGATAGTGAAATTATACTAAGCTTCCTGGAGAAGGAATCAAGGAGTTAGTTAAGAGATGTGTGTTAGGCTAAGTCGCCATCTGCTCTTGTCTCATTATCAATTTGTAGGGCAAAGTTTTTTTCAATGGTCTATTCCTTGCTGGTGAGAGATTTGAAAAGTCACTGGAAAGGAAACCTCTGTCTGCTAACTGTGCTTGTGGTCTGGACACAGAATATTAAGTTGGATTCTCCTGTATTTTAATAGCATGCAGTGCCATGAGGAGCTGAACAACTTCCAGATTATATAACTGATGGGTACCTGTCAAAAGGATGCTGCTGCTCAACTTAGAAAAAGGTGAAATCAAGGGATGGTCAAAATCATGAACACTAGAAACTATTCCTAGAAAAATGCACATAAATACTCATATAGTCACGCATTTCAAAATAGCAAAACGATGATGACGGTGATGATGATGGTGATGATGATGATGATGATGATGATGATAGTAATCGCTGCCACTTATTGAGAGGCCCATAAGCCAAGTACTTTGCAGACATGATGACACTACCTTGGGACACAAATCTTAGCATTCTCGTTTTTAAGATGAAGACAATGAGGTTTGGGCAACTGTGTCACGTATTGGGCCCAGAGTCACAAGTTAGTAGCAGAACCAGTTTTTAAATCTTGTCTGTCTGCCACTAAAGTCTGGCGTGCTCAAACATCCCCCCTTGGAAGCTTCTCTCACACTGTGTGTATGTGACTGTATCAGGACAACAGTTCAAAACCAGCCCTGGTATGGACTAGGAGGTAAGGATGACTGAATGCTAATAGAAATAAACATTTGCGAGTCAGGCTTCTCCTTTGTTCTCCTTTTGCTATCTAATAAAACGTATTGATTGTCACCACCAATAATTGTCTACACTCCATTAATACATGGATGGATTTCTATCCCTGAAAGGACCACATTAAGTCACCAAATCTAGCTTCAATTTTCACCAGGAGCTGTTATCAATCCTTCAAAAGTGTTCAAGGCTCCAGGGGATATAATTTCTCTACTTGACGTGTCAATGGATTCTGACATATTTTAAAACTAATGAATTCTATTATACAATATAACAGTTACTAGGTATTATAGACACAAGAAAAATGAACATCCAAGTGTTTTCTATGAAGTTTCTTATAAATATGTAAATATTTTAAATAATGAGCAATAAACTTTTCATTCATATTCACATTATAATTAACTTTTTAATTTAAGTAGCATCCTAGAAGCTATAAATTCAGGCTTCTGATTCACTTCCAATCACCTTCTAATTTATATTTGCTCTCATTACAACTAGTCTATGAAAAACTTCAATCTTGCAATTCTCTAATCTTGGAAGTTTAAAAATTCATAAGATATAATTAGAATCTGCGTGGGAGACATTAGGGTTTAGTAAAAGGAATGATGAACTAGGAGTCTCAGGAACTTGAAACCAGGCCGAAGTCTGTCTGCTACTCAAATTATTTCTTTGAAAATAACTTTACTCATCTGTAAAATGATGAGAGTGCAAGAGATACTTTTAAAGGTACCTTCCAGAGTTAAGATGATGAATCATATCTTTTAAAACTCATAAAATTATTTAAACATATTAAAATTATTACAAATCTAGTTGTATGTACAGAAGTGAGTGTGCATATGCATATATACATATACTATATATATCAGAAATAATTTGCTCATAGAATGAAACCACAGTTAAATGTGAATGATATGATTTCAGTTTAAAATACATGAAATGAAAAAAAAATTAAATTCGAAACCTCTGAACATTTTCAGACTATTACTACTGGGAGTCACAAAATTAGTCCTTTTTAAGAATTTAACAACTTTTTAACAGTCTTTAATCTTTATCCTAAAGGGAAACAGTAATAGCCTAATCACTCAAGTGTGGGAAAAATAAAAGAATCACTCTCATTCTCGCTTGCTTAACCCTGACCACAACTCTCAAGCTTGAACATGCCATGTATCCTCTTCTGCACTCGTTATTTTGGGATTTGGAGGAGTGTGTGGGAGGGGAGGATGGAAGGAGGAGCGGGGACGTAAGGGGGAGAAAGTGGAGCGGGGAAAAAGATGAGAAGATGGCCTAAGGCAAGAATAAGAGAGGAAGAAACTTATGAGAAATCAAGGAAACAGTGGCACTTCCGTGAGAGGGGAAGATCATATTTAACAAGTGGAACCTTGAATGGAGGGAAAGAATACATTCAGGAAGAAGAGGCCATAGAAAGCATGTAGAGCAGGGGTGCCCAAGGGAGAGAACACAGTCATGGCTTCTTAGTTTCTGTGTTTGGTCTGGTTGGGCCAGTAAAGCCCCTTCCTCATCCCGCTTTTCTGCTTACTACTAGAGACAGAAATTAAAAACCATGGCCTTGGGCTGATAAAACCCAACAAAACAGAACAACAACAACAACAACAAAATAAGGAGGGTTGGGCAATCTTGATGTAGACTAAGTTTTCTTTTCTTTTTTTTTTTTTTTTTAAGATGGAGTCTCACTCTGTTGCCCAAGCTGGAGTGCAATGGCACTAAACCTCTGCCTCCTGGGTTCAAGCAATTCTCCCACCTCAGCCTCCCGAGTAGCTGGGATTACAGGTGCATGCCATCACGCCCAGCTAATTTTTGTATTTTTAGTAGAGATCGGGTTTCACCATGTTGGCCAGGCTGGTCTCCAGCTTCTGACCTCAGGTGATCCGCCCACCTCGGCCTCCCAAAGTGCTGGGATTACAGGCATGAGCCACTGCACTTGGCCTATTTTTTTTATAATTCAAACTTTGTTACAGGAAATACTTCTCCTTCCAATTCTCTCCTGTCCATGATTCCCTAATTGGAATTCAATCAGTCATTTCTAAGGTTGAAGATGGAAATTTCCAAGGCTTTTATAATTGCTCAATATAGATATTTTGAGCAAGCTCCTGCCTGACGGGAATAAATAATTTATTGAGTTTTTTTATTCTTAGAGTATGGAAAAATATTTTACCTGGAGAAAGTCAAAAAGAACACCTTGTCACAAGAAAAGGCAAAATGTACCATTTAAAGTTTAAATCAGGATAACAGCTCACTCAACAGTGGGTTTTCAGTCTTCACACTTAAATGCCAAAGCTTACTTGGTTGCAGGATCAACAGGACCAATTTTTCTTTTTTCCAGCAAAAAGTCATCCTCACCAGGGGCTCCATACCAAAAGCATCCTTGCACAGCTGGGGCATAAAGTCAGCAGCAGCAATTGTACAAGATGCTGTCAAGACTTAGAGGGTGCATTGCAGGAAGTGTCTCATTCTGGTCTCATGTTCCCTAAACACACACGCTGAGAGCAGACAGTCTATCATCTTGGGTCCTGTCTCACTCCTCTTCTACTGGCTGTGTACAGACCGCCTGTGACTCCTATCTCTTGGATAGGAGACTCCTGGATATCTTCCCAGAAAGACCAGTGGGATTCTTTTATTTCTTTTCTAGCATACTTAATAAAACCAAGTCTCTCTGAACTTAGTGGGTAGTAACAGTCCCTTAAAAAAGTTGTCACTCCTGTTCTCAGGCTCCCCTATAACACAAATAATCATGATTGAGTTTGGGGGAGGTCCTTTTAAAAATATTTATGTATACACATGGTCACACCACTTAGTTTTCTTGCACCAAGATAAGGAGAGGAAGATGGAAAGCATCTTATAGGTTGGTGCAAAAGTAATCATGGGTTTTGCCATTAAAAGTAATAACAAAAATCACAATTACTTTTGCTCCAACCTGATAATATCAAATGAAGAGTAACCTGCTGAGAAAATAACAGAATTAAGGAAATAACTAAAAATCTGTGCTCCAAGTATGGCCAGGTATATCTCTAGTGGATGGGGCTGGAGGAGATTATGAGATTAGTTACTTTAATCCCTAGTTAAATAGGGAAGAAACCAAGGCAAAGAGAGAGCTCATTGCTTTTCAAGGTAGCAAGGTAGCAGAGTCTGGTTTTAACTCAGGCTTCCAAAATCATATCCCAGTAATCTTTATTTACTGAAGTGATCCAGAATCTTTTATGTGAAACTCATAGGGCCACGTGTGTTTATTTTTTAATTTTTACTTCTTCCAGTGGCCAGTTACTAGAGCATATTTATTTATAACATATATACTATAAACAAAAAAACCCTCAACAGCCTATGAGACAACACACTGTCATTAAACACAATCATACCCTTACAATGAAACATGAATATCCACACTAAGCAGGATAAACAAAAACGCCAAGTAACCAATTATTAGTTTAGGTAAGAATTTTGCTACCACAAATGACTAAAAAAAAGTTTTTTTGGTGTTCAGTTTTCTGAATTTTCAGAATTGCAGATAATGGGTTGTGGTCATATATGGCTATACTTTTATGAGAAGAAAAAGAAAAAATCCTCAAGCATTTTCAAGGAGTGCATCCATTGTGTAATGGTTAAGAGCAGTTCAAACATCTGCAGGTTTTATTAAAGACATTTCTGATTCAGGAGGTCAAGGTGAAGCCTGAGAATTTTTACTTCCACTTCTGACCAGTTCCCAGGTGATGCTGATGCTGTAGGCCCAGGGACCACACTTTGAGAACCACTGGTTAAGAGAATGAGCTTTGCACTAATGGGCCTGGGTTCAAGTCCACCTTTTCTTAGTTGTTTGGTTTCAGGCAAATTACACAATTTCTGCTGGGAAATACATGATAATGTTATTGAGGATCCTTTGTACGTGGCAGGCTACTTTACTGCTTTCAAGATTCTCTCTTTGTCATTGGCTTTTGACAGTCTAACTTGGTGTGGGTCTTTGAGGTTTATCTCAGATTTCTTTGAGCTTCTTGCATTTGTACATTTATGTCTTTCCTCAAATTGGGGGTATTTTCTGTCATTGTTTCTTCAAATAATCTCTCTGGACTCTTTCTCTCTTCTTCTGGAACTCTCATAATGCATATGTAGGTCCACTTGATGGGATCCTGCAAGTTCCTTAGGCTCTGTTCATTTTTTTGTTATTCTCTTTTCTTTTTATTCCTCAGACTCATCAATGATTTTAAATGACCTTTTTCAAATTCACAGATTCTTTCTTCTGTCTATTCAAGACTGCTGTTGCATCTCTGGTGAATTTTTGAAATCACTTATTGTGTTCTTCTGTCCAGAATTTCTATTTGACTTTTATAATTTCTACTTTTTTTATATTCTCATTTTACTCATACATTCTTTTCTTGATTTCCTTTAGCTCTTTAAGTGTATTTAAGAGAGTGGTTTTAAAGTCTTTGTCTAGTAAGTCTGATGGTTGTGTTTCTTCAAGCTTTTGAAGATTTATTTTGTTCCTTTGAACAGGCCAGATTTTTTTTTTTAATTTTAATGTCTTGCGATCTTTTGTTGAAAATTGGGCATTTGAAAAAAATAGCCACCTCTCCCAGTCTTTGAAGACTGACTCTAAGCAGAGGAAGACCTTCACTAATAGGCCCTCTGTGAAGGCCTTTTCTAGCCACGTATCTTCCTTGGACCTGTGTGCACGCTTTTTTCTGATTCCCTCATATACACAGCTGGTTAATGTCTCAATTTCTCTAATAGTCTCGCCTTTGCTTCTTCTTGGGGTCTCACCTGTTCTATTGTATTGCTCAAAGATCTCTTGCCCCAGATATCTGTGGGTCTATAAAACCCTTGTGATTTTCACAAGCCATGCCTGCTTCTTCTCCTATCTTCCTCTAGCCTGAAATCCAAACTGTGCCACTTTTAGCTGTCTGAGCTCCTAGTTAAGCAACGCAGAGGTCAATCTCCCAGGCTTCTGTCATACAGGGTAGAACATTGCAAATATGGTCTAAATCTCTCCAATTTGCAGAAGGAAATTGGGCAGCAGGCCATCACATCCCCCAGACTGCCATGCTGCCTTGGGGCAGGGTGGGGCAAGGGTGAGTAAAAATGCAATAAAATTTCCTGCCATGTTTAATGTGGATTTTTCTTAGTTGGGTATTTGCTTCGTTCTTATAAATTTTTGACTGATTCCCAGAGCTTCTATAAAATTGTTTAATCAGTCTCTTATTTAACATTTCCTTGGGAAAACAAGGACCTAAAACTTCCTAGTCTGCCATCTTCCTGATGTCCTCATCACATATCTTCTTAAGCTTCTTCCTTATCGTACCCACTACACAGGGTTTTCCAGATGATTAAATGAGACAATGTACATAAAGGATTTAGCACAGACTTTGCATGTAGGAAAATCTCAATAAACTTTGGCCACTATCATAAAAATAGTACAATTGCAGAGTATAAATTTAGTTCCTTATCTTTCTTATCTCCGTCAGGAGTCTTCAATGCATGTGGCACAATGCTGCCTTAATTATGCTTTAATCACAAACTTTTCCTTCCCCAACACACCCACAAATATCAGTTGCCTAATCTATGCTATGCCCATCTTCCTCTGCAGTGCTATTGTGTATCTCTCATCCATAAAGGGTATATGTTACTTAACATATGAGATAGATCTTTTGCTGTCATGTTTTGTTTTCCTAAGTCATGCTTGTTCACAACTTTTAAGAGCAGTTTCTGTTCTCATTACCTATCTAAGGTCTAATGAAGTTTTTATTCTAGTGGCATTATGAGAAAGTTACACATAAGACTTAAGTCTTACCTTTAATATAGGCCTGTCCAGGCTTAATGTGAATATACTCATGCTTGATAAAATAATAGAGGAGTAAAGGCACCTTTTTCTCTCTTTGAAGCTATCTCCTACTTCTCAAATAACCCATGTCCATTGTGTGCCTCCTTCATTTCCCACATTTTGGTCAAATGCTGAGCCTAGTTCTACCTTTTCCAACAAAAAATCTTCCTTTACTTTTTGCCTATCTTCCATTTTGATGAACAAATACAATGCCTTTTTTGTTTGTTTGTTTCTGTTTTTATAGAGAATGTGCTTCATTGATCTTGCACTAGGGAACACGCTGCTAAGTCAATGAGCTGCAGTGCTGGGTGCAACAGCATCAGCCATTGCAGGGTTTTCAAGGTGAATATCACCTTGAGATAACAGAACTTGGCAGCAAGAGATGACAGTGAAGGTCATAGTAGAGCAGTTATCTGAGCCAGACATCAAAGGCGTTTTTCCTAGACTTAGTGGTCACTTTAGTGGTCACCTGAGAAGCAACTAGCAAGAGAATCCAGGAACATTAGTCTCGTGGTCAAGGTTATTGGTATTGCTGAAAGAAATTTCCCAACCTCGAGAAGGTTGGCTGATCACTCAACCAGATCCTTACCAGTGGCTAAGCCTTGGTGAATCCATCACCTCAAGGTCAAGTTTTCAGACGTGATGATGGCTCAGAAACCTGATTTGATCAGCATGCTGAAATTGGGATGTGAAACTGCATTAATCAAGCTTAAAGAGATACAAGCCAGATGGCTTTGCATTAATCTACCACAGCCAAGAATGCACAAGTAGGTCTGGCCAGCATCTATCCTCACTGTTGACAAGCTGCTTGAAACCTCAGTGATCCAACATCTTGTGTAAGAATGGAGTCAGCACAAAGGGAAGATCATTGGTCTTCAGAAGTGTTTCTGATCTAAGGTAGCTTGAATCACCTCACCTATTACAGGAACAAACTTGCCCAAGTGTCCTCTAGTTCCCTCCAGGAAAACTCCTTCTCTCCGAACTAGGGCTTGCCTTTGTGCCTCTATGTGTTTCCATGGCAGACTAACTCTCTTCCTATCCCTTCTTTCTCTTTTCTTCTTTTCCCTCCAAATAAGATACCATTTCCCATTTCAAATTCTAATCATGGAATAGCTCTGCTTTTCTGAAAGTATACCCATATCACCTTGACTGGAGTATTGGGTGCCTCTAAAGTATTCAGGTATATATTTAAAGATGGATCTCCTGACTCTCTCCCACAGATGGCTCCTGATTTTAATTGTTTTACTAATTTAACTCTGATCACAAGCTTTTTTTTTTTCTAAGTTGGAGTGGAGGCTTTGTTAGCCCCTATTGTATGCCAACTGATAGAAAGCTGCATTTTTACATAGAATCATTTTAAAAATCTAACAGTGAATTGTCACTGCAGCCTAAAATGCTTCCTAATTTCTGTAAATGAAATACAACACATAGAAGAGCTGTGCATTTTCCTTATTGTGTTCCCACACCATTTGGCCAAGCAGTTACTCACTTGAGGATTTCCGTATTCTAACACACAGCCAGACTTGCCCCACTGCTGTGGATGACTAAAAACTCCTGGGATGGTGTTTTTCTCTGGCTCTGTCAGATGTTTAGCCTCTGCAGTGGGGAATTTATGCTGTCATGGCTTTTAACAGAGAAAACAAACACTATAAGGTAGGCACCAAAACTTAACTAATTAATCAACACCAGATGATTCAAATAAAAATAAAAACCTACTGGAAATTAAGACACTTTAAATTCCTTTTGGAAATACATGGAGTCTAAATCAATAAACAATACCGGAAAGGACATTTGCCTAAATATGCAAGAAATTATAAATTTCTTGGTAGATATATTTAGTGTGTCAACAAACATTTATTGAGTACCTACAATGATTTAAAAATTATGCTAGACGTTCGGGAAATACAGAAGAAAAATGCCCTTCTACCCTTCAGGCTTACTCACTTACCTTGCCTGGGGAAGAGTCTTCAACATCCTCGGCAGCTCTAGGATTCAATATTTATATTATTGAATTGAAATAATAATGCAGTTCCAGTGGGTATTGAGATCCTCAAGTCCTCAACGGCAGTTGCCTTGACAACTTACTGGAGGATAACTTTTTTTTTTAAGAAAAGGGATCTTGCTACATTGTCTAGACTGCATTTGGACTTCTGAGCTCAAGCAGTCCTCCCAGGTAGCTGGGACTACAGGCATATGCCACCATGCCCCACTCCTTTAATTTTTTGATGCTCTCTGCTGCATTCTGGTTGGGTTATGATGGCATAAAGCACAAGATTTGAATCAGAGATCTGCTTTAAGACTCCACTTACCTCGGGAAAATTAGTTTGATAAGACAGCCTCAGTTCTTTGTATATAGGAATTCAACATACACTTAATAGGGTTGAAGTGAAAAGTATAACCAGTGGCTTGGGTCCTGAAGTCAAATGGGCCTGGGCTTGAATCCTCGGTCAGTCATTCTCTACCATGGTGACCTTGCGTAAGTTACTTAAGTCCTCTATACCTGTTTCCTCGTGTGGAAAAAGGAGGGGAAATTGTATTCCACAGGATTTATGTAAGGAGTAAATGCCACAATAAATGTAAAGTGCTTAACACAGTGCTTAGCACATGGTGATTATGTAATAAATGCCAGTTGTCATTAGTATTTGAGCATTAAATGATTTACTGTATTTTAAGCACAAAGCACGCATAAAATGAGTGCCCATTTTGGGGGCAGCAAATTTTGAGACGCCATTTTGTACCCAATAGAGCTTATAACAGAAACCTCAACAGTGGAGGGGCTCCTTCAGGAAACAGTGTGCTCTGTTACTGGAGCACATTCTCTCCTGGCAGAGGGCCCTCCACTATTGCAGGCACCTTCATGGCTTTCGGTTGAGGCTGGAAGAACAGGTCTCCTGAACTGGGGAGATGGTTATACGAGATATTTTTGAAACCTCTCTTCAACTTTTTCTCATTTTATGCCTTGTAATCATCTCTGGTTAGATGAATAATTAGATAATAATTCTATATTAACATTGAGGTGATATATAAACTTTATTAATTATTGAATAATTTTAGATTATTTAACATTTAATAATTTTAAGTTCAAGGTTACAAGTGCAGGTTTGCTACATAGGTAAACTTGTGTCATGGGGATTTATAGTGAAGACTATTTCATCACCCAGGTATTAAGCCTACTACCCATTAGTTATTTTTTCTGCTCCTCTCCCTCCTCCCACCCTCCACTCTCAAGCAGAACCCAGTGTCTGTTGCTCCCCTCTTCGTGTCCCTGTGTTCTCATCATTTAGCTCCTACTTATAAGTGAGAACATGCGGTATTTTGTTTTCTGTTCCTGTGTTAGTTTGCTAAGGATAATGGCCTCCAGCTCCCTCTATGACCCTGTAAAAGACATGATCTCATTCTTTTTATGGCTGTATAGTATTCCATGGTGTATATGCACATTTTCTTTATCCAGTCTACTTTTTTTTTTTTTTCTTGAGACAGAGTCTTGCTCTTTCACCCAGTCTGGAGTGCAATGATGCAATCTTGGCTCACTGCAACCTCTGCCTCCTGGGTTCAAGTAATTCTCCTGCCTCAGCCTCCCAAGTAGCTGTAATCCCAATTACAGGCGCCCACCACCATGCTCGGCTAATTTTTTGTATCTTTAGTAGAGACATGGTTTCGCCATGTTGTCTAGACTGGTCTCGAACTCCTGACATCAGGTGATCCACCTGCCTCAGCTTCCCAAAGTGCTGGGATTAGAGGCATGAGCCACTGCGCCTGGCCTCCACTATTGATGAACATTTAGGTTGATTCTATGTCTTTGCTGTTGTGAATGAACACACATATGCATAACATTTAATAATTTTAAATTATCTAACACATTCACTTCATTTTTTTATAAAAGAACCTATAATTGGGAAATATTCAAGAATTTGTAAACACTTTTTCTCTAGAAAAATATAAGTCTCTTCCCTTTCCTACATCCCTAACGGTTATAAAGAGAAGTTCAAATTGAGGCAAGTTATCTCATCTCAGAATGAATGGTGATTTTTTTTTAAAACTCTATGTCCTATTACTTGTTCAATCTCTTGAAGCAAGAATCATGTTCTTTGTTAGTTCTGCTTCTGGTGGTAATATTATGAACTAGGTCAGAAGGTAGTTAAAAAAGAAATAGGTTCATAGCTAAGAATCTCATTTCAAAGGAAAAAAAAAAAACCTGGCCATGTTCCATGTTCAAAATAAACTCTATTCTCTATTCCAGGGCATTCATGAGATTTCTGAGAAAAATGCCAGAGAAATGTTCCACAGAGAGGAAGAAGGGTTGAGAGCCTGTCAGCCTGACCAGGATGCCAGCCCTTTCAATGGGGGATCAGTGACAAGTCACTTTCCCTCTGCTCCTCAATGCCTCTGAATGCTACTGTTCATGGGACTGCAGTTCTGGGAACTTAGTACTGGGTACCTAGTCAAGGAGGCATAAAAAAGCTTTGCTTATATCGGTGCCTTTATCTGAGCTTGAAAGGGGAGAAGAGGTTTGGAATAGGAACATTGGAATATTTTTTAAAAGTGGCTCGCCTAAGAAGACAAACAAAAAGGGAGTAATAATGGCATTGTGTAGGACAAAATGACGTGCCCTGGGGCTGTGAAGGAGAGTGTGAGTGTAGAAGAAAGGGCGGTGCTCAGACAGGCTGGGATTAAGACACTTCTTTGCCCAGGATAAAAAGAGGACCAGAGGTGGGATGGCCTGCAGAGGGCATGTTCTTCTACAGAGCCAGCACCCTGAGTCCCGCCGTGTTCCTCCTGCGGGAGGGGAGGCCAGATTTGCTATTTTTCCGACTCCTCTGCTGTCACACCTGCCAAACGCTGCCAGTGGGCACTACCAGAACCTGGACACTCTTGGGCCAGCTGCCAGACAAGTGTGCTGACGGGAGAGAGAAGGAGAGCTCTGTGACCAGCAAGCCTCGACACTTCGTTAGGCCAACTGGTTTCTTAGTTTGCATCTTGGTTCCTGGAACCATCTCGTACCTTGTGAATCCCGACGTGGGATGTGGGATGCCTGCCAAAGGGAAATGTCAAGTGTGCTGGTCAAGAAAAAGGATTTTATAACTTTTTGGGGCTTTTGATTTTTTAATTTTTTTTTTTTTAATATGGGGTCTCTCACTATGTTGCCCAGGCCGTCCTTAACTCCTAGGCTCAAGTGATCCTCCTGCCTTGACGTCCCAAAGTGCTGGGATTACGGGCATGAGCCACTTCATCTAGGCTATAACTTTTTTAAATTGTGGGAATGTTGCTTTTACTTCAAAAAGGGGGAACAAGAAGAGAAAAGGGAAGAAAGGGATGGAGAAAAGTAATACTTTATTTTAGCACAGAGGTAGGAGAGGCTAAATCATGAAATTACACCTAGTGTTGGGATGTTCTGGGGAAAGGGGTGGAGGCAAGTGACTCTGTCTTGCTGATTTCAGTCTCCCCTGATGTCACTGAGGGACTTGGACTATGAGCAGAATTGGGGCAGGAGGGGCTCCAGAGAAGCCCTCCTCGAACATGGGGGCTTCCAGCCTAACTTACAGTTCCCAGGGTTGTTTGTGGTTGTTTTTAAATATCATGGACCAGCAAAATTAAAGAAAAATAACCTGAAGACAATACTGAATCACCCACTTTTTATTTTGCCAGGGAGAGAATCCCAGAGCTTCAATTATAACATTATCAACACAGTATCATTTTAACATCTCTCACCTTCATTGAAAAAACACACAACTGCATGATAAAAAGAGTCTAAGAAAGTTCAGCTGACCTCCAGACTGATTATTTGGAAAGATTATATATAGTCCCTATAAATAAATACTGATACTTACAAATACACATCCATAAGTGTATATGTGTGCATACAAATGATTGTGTGTGTATATACTATGAAAGGAAAATAAATCTTGGGACCCCAAACTCTCTAAGGCAAAGGGGAAAGTTAAGCTGGGAACTGGGTCATGCAAATCTGCCCCCCAGTTTTGTTCCTAAATAAGACAGCTACAGAGATGAAAGGGTATATACCTCCCTCACAATTTTCCCACAAGGGAATTCCTGGTTGGCCCCACAATCTTTACCCTAAAGCAGTTCTGGTGAATTTTACCCTGACCGTGTAAATTCATCGTTAATCTTCTCAGGTATGGGACAAAGGACAGAACTGAAAAGTCATCTCTCCACTCACCCGAGACAAATGCCTATCTTACTGCCTCCTCTACCCTCTGTTAATTTTAGGTTATGTAATAATGCAGATTCACTGAGGACAAGTTGAATGCGTATGTGACTATTCCTCTACCCCCTCTCACATGTAAAATGTAGATTCAGAGAATGCTGATCCAAGACTAAAAAGGATGCAACCTCTTGCCACTTTTATCTACCACCCTTTAAAAAGATTTTTCTTCTTTCTCTTTCCCCCAATACCTGCTTTTTTCCCTTTAAATATTGAGGTCCTCAGATTCTCTTTGGAAAAAAGCACAGACCACAGATTTTTCCTATGATTTTGTGTTCTTTTGTCCTAGGCATGTCCTTAACCTTGGCAAATAAACCTCTTAAAATAATTGTGACTTGCCACGGTCATCTTTGATTTACAACACACATACACTGAGATGTATGAATAGGTTTAAAATATAAATACAAAAAAATTAACATCCATTTATTGACGGTATTATATTGCAGGTGATTTTTTAGAAGTGGGTCAATTAGGGGTTTATGTTGAACAGTGCAACATGAAGTATAGCTCAAATATCTACTTGTAGACATTTTTCTGACCACATTTTAAATATAAGCTTATGCATAAGCCTCCTGATGAAAATGGAAGCACTATGGTTAGCTGATGCCATGAAAGTGGTGGAGGCAGCCCGGCAGAGCTAGCTACATCTTCAGGAAAGGGGGTGCTGAAGGACACACTCTGCTTTCAGAGCCCTGCGGGGCTGCATCTGAAGAGTGGTTGCCCAGAGCAAGCAACTGAGAAGGCTGCTGCACACAGCAAAGCTTGGTCATGAGCCAGCTCTGCTTCTGGACCTGGAGTTTATGAACCAGTCACCAATAGAGCTGGAATGAGAAGATTGAGAAGTGTTGCAGAAAGTTCCAAGGTCTTCTGAGCCTTTGAGACATGATAATATGAAGAGGCAGAAGCCAACGTATCATAAGAAAAAAATAAATATACTTAGCATCAACCTCGGTGACCAGTGGGAGTTCTCCTCCCTGGCATCCATTAGAATCACCTGGGGAGCTCAAAATCTAATAGCAGGTCCCACTCCCACAGGTTGGGATTTAATTGATTTGGGGTGGGGCCTGGGTAGCAATATTTTCTTTAAAGCTCTCCAAGTGATTCTAACATGCAGCTAACTTGAAAACCACTACTTCAAAGACAGAAAAGGATGCAGGAAAAATTCCCTCTCATCAGAGGTTCTGAAACTGATTCCCAAATTCTCAAAATTCCCTCTCATCGGAGATCTGCTAACTATTTGCAGTAGGACAAAACATTCTACTATCAACCGAAAGAAATAAAAATATTTTACCCCAAAGTGTATTTCTTTGACATAGTTTGAGACTGCTTGCTCAGAGACCCAGCAAACAGAAGTAACTCTGCAAAGCTGTCTTTTGTGGGGGACTTGACACCTACAGAAAATCTAAATTGATGCAGCCAGGCCTCCCCTTGACCCATTCTAAAAAAAAAATAATGGAGAGTTTGACACCTTTAAAGGTTTAAGAAGAAAAAAAGCATTTACCATCTATTCTTTCTTTCTTTCTCTCTCTCTCTCTTTTTTTTTTTTGGATGGAGTTTCACTCTTGTTGCCCAGGCTGGAGTACAATGGCATGATCTCGGCTCACTGCAACTTCCACCTCCCAGGTTCATGTGGTTCTCCTGCCTCAGCCTCCCAAGTAGCTGGGATTACAGGCACCTGCAACCATGCCCAGTTAATTTTTGTATATTTTAGTAGAGACGGTGTTTCACCATGTTGGCCAGGCTGGTCCTGAATTCCTGTCCTCAGGTGATCCACCCACCTTGGCCTCCCAAAGTGCTGGGATTACAGGTGTCAGCCACCACGCCCGGCCCCATCTATTCTTTTTGATAGCTGCTACCTTTGCCAGCCAGGCCTCCTCTTCTCTCCCTCCCATAACCTGTTCTGCCATCATTACCTGTTTTTGAACCCCCATTTTTTCTGTACATCAAGATGATATATAAGCTTCTACACTCTCCTGGTGGTTGGGGTAATCACTCTGTGATTCTCCCTTGTGTGCACGTTTATAAATGTTTACTCCTTTTCTCCAATTAATCAACCTTTTGTGACTTGACTTTTAAATAATCCTTTAGAGGGTGAAGGGAAAGTTCTCTTCACCCCTACGCAGTTGTGTAGGGATTCTCTTTTTTAACTGAAAACCTCACCATAGTTAAGAGGCAAAAAGAAACCCTGCTCATCAAAACACCAATGAGATGGTACAACGTAAAGTAGCATTATGAAAGCCACAGGCATTAACACAACAAATGTCAACATTACAAAAATTCCACAGACCATCTAGAAGCCACGAGCCCTTGGTTACCTTGGGAAGTGTCTGCATGTGTGATGGGTGGGGTTGGCGTGAAAGCTGGCTGAAGGCAGAGCCGGGGCTTCACAGCTTTGGAGCGTTGACTCCGCACCAGGCACTAGGCATACCATACATTCTTGGTATAAATGATCTCATCTAATGTACGTTTGTTCACTCTGCCTTGGCTGCACAGTCCTCCTGTTACTCATCAAATATGCCAGCCATGTCACCACTCTTCTTCCACCTGGAACCCTCTTCCCCAGATATCTACCTTTTTCAAGTCTTTGTCCAAAATCCACAGACTCTGTCAGGGCTGTCTGAATACCCGATTTAAAGATGCCCACAGTTGCTCTCTCTTCCTATTGGTTTCTTTGTGCTTGTGCTACACTTTCTTCTTTTCACAGCTTTTATCACTTTATAGCATCTGTCTTTTTATCAGCTATATATCTATGTGATATGGTTTGGTTCTGTGTCCCCACCCAAATCTCATCTTGAATTGTAATCCCCACTTGTCAGAGGTCTGGTGGGAGGTGACTGGATCATGGGGGTGGATTTCCCCTTGCTGTTCCCATGATAGTGAGTGAGTTCTCACAAGATCTGATAGTTTAAAAGTGTTATTTATATCCACTTCCTACTTCACTCTTTCTCTCCTGCTGCCATGTAAGACATGCCTTGCTTCCCCTTTGCCTTTTGCCACAAGTGTAAGTTTCCTGAGGTCTCCCCAGCCATGCAGAACTGTGAGTCAATTAAACTTCTTTTCTTTATAAACTACCCAGTCTCAGGTAGTTCTTTATAGCAGTGGACTAATACATATGTATATATATGTGTGTATGTATGTATCTATTTATCTACCTATCTATATTACTGTTTATTATCTGTCTTCCCCATTAGACTCTGAGCTCCACAAGGGCAGACAGTCTCTCTCTCCCACTAGACAATGTCTAACCATGCCTGGCATTTAGTCAATAAATATTTGTTGAATGAACAAAAATATGTACTAAGACTACAATAAATTATTATTGTTATAATTATTTAACATAAATCTTCACGAAAAAAGAAATGCTTTATTCTTTAATTAAAAGAAAACAAAACAGATAAAGGAAGAAACTGAAAATAGAGACAAGGGGAAAAAAAAGAAAACTCCAGGCGGCCGTTGCTGATATTTGTATCATAAAATTATGAGCTTTGTGATTAATGGAAATATAAAAGTCACATGTGTGGCTCGTAAAACTGAGGCTGGGTGATTTATATCCTCAGTTATTTTCATTACCCTCCCTTTAGGTAACTGTTTTTTTTGTAGTTTCCAAAGTTGACACCTGATAGTCACTTTCCTCAATTTATCAATAGGAATCTGACATCCCAAAGGCTAATGTCTTGATTTTAAAACAGAAATCCCTTCCAAGAATTGCTCCCAAAATACATGCAGGTTGTTCCACTGCCTTGAAGAGTGAATACGCCTCTCTAATATTTATCAGGAGTTATTCTGAAAATAAAGGGAATACAACAAATCACTCCAGTCCCTTTTGCTGACAATGCCTGCAGCCTTTCTCCAGTTCCCGAGCTGCATAGGAACTGCTGCCCCCATTCAGAATTCTGCACACAAGCCTGTAATCTCTAAAACTCTTACTCAGCAGGAAAGCACATTTAAACATTTTATTTTTGCTCCCAGTGTAATAATAGAAAAAAATTTTATATTTTTACAAGATTTTCACTCTTCTAGTACTAAAATGTTTAAATGGACTCTGCATAGAGGATCAGAGGTTTCCCAGATGGTCAGAAGATGATTATGGCAGGCAAGGAAGAAGCAGAAAAGTCATACATGACTTGATAAAACAAGAAATAAAGTTACCAAACGTAGTGTGTTCAAGGCAGGAGACTGTGAAATCATTATATTTTCAAAAAAGAGAGAGTAAGTACATCCCTGTAGAGTCAGATCTTTGCAGTTAAGCATCAAAATCTTTATCTTCACCAGATGCATAAAATGGAAAATACAATTTTGACACAGAGAGAAGGAAACACAACCAATTTCAGTTTTACTCTCCCCTTCACAACAAAGCAATTTGTTGTAAATGCATTTAAAGAGGCACCCTTCACCACTACTTTCAGGCAAATGACAGCCGGTTAAAATGTAAAAAGAGCTTTCAGTCCAAATCCAAAATAAGGAATAAATCCAGATAATGTCACCTCATGTGAGTAAAAAGCAAGATGATTTCTTTAGAATGAACAAAGGCAGTACAGAATTTCCATTAAAAAACGAATTTGCACGCTAAGCAAAAGTGATTTCAATTACTTTTTGCTAAAAACAAAGTAAGTTTGTAAAGTGCATACTTTGCGTGAAATCACCTTTGCAAAAATTGTGACAGCGAAAGAAATATGACCTAACCGACTCTATCTTGCTTCCAATCTCCAAGCTGCCCTGTTCTTTCCTGGGTGTAGGTTGAACTAAGTTTGGAAGAAATTTAGTTTATAGTTTAACTTTGAAGTAAACATGATAATAGCCCCTCCCTAAAACAAACCTCCTCTTTGCTTGAGGACCACACCTCCCTTTTAAAACTAACAAATCATCCACAAGATTAAGAATTATGGCTCAGGAGTCAGGCAGCCAGAGGCCAAAAGATTCCTAACATCTCCAATTGCTCCCATAGATAATATTACTACTATAAAACCTAAGATTGATGTTTGAGTATTTTTTAGAGTCTGCATTCTGATGGACCAGCTGGCCCCACCCAGACCAGTTAACTGGCTGATCAGGTCTTGTGGCCACCACCCAGGAACTGACTCAGCCCAAGAGGACAGCTTCAACTCCCTGTGATTTCATCCTTGACCCAAACCAATCATCATTCCCCATTCCCTAGGCTCCTGCCTGCCTAAATATCTTTCAACAACCGTAGCCTCTGAATTTTAGAGAAGCTGATTTGAGTAATAGCAAAACTCTGGTCTCCTGTTTAGCCAACTCTATGTGTATTAAACTCTTTCTCTATGGCAATTCCCGCGTCTCAATAAATTGGCTCTATCTGGGTAGGAGGCGAGAAGAACCCACGGGGTGGTTACCAGTGCTGTGAAATGTGTACTGAGCATAAGGCTAGAAAACATCCTACACCTCCAGAAAGTGGTCCTATGTCATCCATAAAAGTAAGCACGAACTCTAATTTATTATTTTCCAATCTTACTACATTCTAAAATAACTATTTATACACCAATGTGCTGTAACTGTAAAGCAGGGATCTAAATGATGGTGACTGGGCTGACTCCATAGGTAAGGGTGTTAAGCCTGCATGGCGAGATATATATATATATAGGGAGAGAGAGGGAGAGAGAGAGAGTGGGGGTTGTGGGGGGAGAGCGAGAGAAAGGGGTGGGGGGGAGAGAGAGATTGGGAGAGAGGGACAGAGAGAGTAGGGGGGAGAGAAGGTGGAGAGAAGAGAGAGAGAGAGAGTCAGAGAGAGTCAGTCTTGCTCTGTCGCCAGGCTGGAGTGCAGTGGCGCGATCTCGGCTCACTTCAACCTCCGCCTGCTGGGTTCAAGTTGTTGTTTTTTTTTAAATTGAATTTGAACCCTTTCATGCTGGCAAGCATGGACTCTGGTCCTCTACAAATTCTAGCCCTTGCTACAGTTTACACATTTCCCAATGCCTGGACCTCGAGGGCTTTTTTTACCTGGAGTAATGAGAATAGGCAGAAGACATCCACAGACCTACACCTTCCCTGCCATCCCAAAGCTCTCAGAACTTATGGGAAGCTCTTCTTAAATTACTTCAAAAGCCAGTTATAAGTCAGAAATTCTTATTTTATTATAGTCACATAGCATTTATTTTTCTTTTTATTATTCTTAGAGTTGGGGTCTCACTCTGTCACCCAGCCTGTAGTGCAGTGGTGCCATATTACCTCACTGTAACCTCAAACTGCTGGGCGTAAGTGATCTACACATCTCAGCCTCCCGAGTAGTTGGGACTACAGGCATGTGTCACCACATCTGGCTAATTTTTAGAGACAGGGTCTCATTATGTTGTCCAGGCTGGTCTTGAATTCCTGGCCTCAAATGATCCTCCCCCCTCCCTCCCAAAGTGCTGTGATACAGGTGTGAACCCATGTGCCCGGCCTCACATTGTTCTGATCAGAAATAAAATTACTCAGGTTGTTCATGCCCCACTTTTTCAAAAGCATTTGCTGGGAAGGGCTTTGACTGGTTTCTGAAAGTCACAAGTATCTGCTAAGTATATGCATACTAAAGATAAAGGTACTGCGGCTGCTAAGTATATGCATACTAAAGATAAAGGTACTGCGGCTCAAAGTTGTTCTTCCTTTAGGTGAAAACACGGGGTCATGCTACAGTCATAAGAGTCAGGGACTGGATTCCTGGTCCCTGTTTGTACGTGGATAAGTTAACTGACTTCTTTAGTCTAATCAAAATGAGAGAAGATATCATTTATTTAAAGATCCTGACATATACTCCTTCAGATAAGCCTTAAATCCTCCCCCATCCCTCCTTCTGGCTTAGGAAAACCTACAACTAAAAACTACAGCCCAATCTCTGCTTGAAACTTTGCACTGCTGAAAAAAGATCTTGATATTTTCCTTATATTCTCTTTTGGTTATTAGCTTTTTCTTTCCATCTTTTATATAAGTTTTTTTGTGTGTGTGTTTTGTTTTTGAGACAGGGTCTCACTCTGTCACCCAGGCTAGAGTGCAGTGGCATGATCACAGCTCACTGTAGCCTTGACCTCCCTAGCTCAAGTGATCCTCCCACCTCAACCTCCCAAGTAGCTAGGACCACAGGTGTATGTTACCACATCTGCCTTTTTTTTTTTCCGAGACAGAGTCTCATTCTGTTGCCCAGGCTGGAGTGCAGTGGTGCAATCTCGGCTCACTGCAACCTCCGCCTCCCAGATTCAAGCGATTCTCCTGCCTCAGCCTCCTGAGTAGCTGGGACTATAGGTGCACACCAGCATGCCTGGCTAATTTTTTGTATTTTTAGTGGAGATGGGGTTTCACCGTGTTAGCCAGGATGGTCTCGATCTCCTGACCTCGTGATCCACCTGCCTCAGCCTCCCAAAGTGCTGGGATTACAAGCGTGAGCCACCACGCCTGGCGCTAATTTTTTTTTTTAATTGTTTGTAGAAACGGGGTCTCACTATGTTGCCCAGGCTGGTCTTGAACAGCTAGGCTCAAGAGAGCCTCCCACCTTAGCTTCCCAAAGTGCTGGGCTTGCAGGCATGAGCCACTGCACCAGCCTCATCTTTTATATGAGTTTATTTTTTAAATATATATGACTGCATAGCTCATTTGGTGGATTCCTTCAGTAAATGAGTAAATAGAATAATATTTTGACAATATAGAGTTCTTTACTGACTGCTATTTCAAACTTAAAATATAGTGAGCTGCAATTCCTTGTATTAGCCCTAGAACAGAACAATGTGCTGAACAGCTCCTCATTATTTGTTAACAGTTTTAAATGAAGCTAATTCCAAATAATAAAACTCAAGATAGAGAATTTCAAATATGCTGACTCCTTGAAAATGTTATAACAGAGCTGCATATTTCAAATTTACTAGGAGGCAAAAAGGCCATCCTAAAAAAACAGACTGATGAGTTGTAGTTTGTGGTCTAATTGTCATCATCTGCCATATGAAGTTCAGTGCACTTGGAATTTTAACTTTCAAAATGTAAATTATTTTATCCTGAAATGTTCTTACTCCAGAGAAGAATAACCATCTTGATATTAAAAACTCTATCAAGAACCAGGCACAGTGGCTTATGCCTGTAATCCCAACCCTTTGGGAGGTTTAAGCAAAGGATTGTTTCAGCCCAGGAGTTCAAGACCAGCCTGGGCAACATAGCAAGACCTTGCCTCTCTAGTTAGAAGAAAAAAAAAATTAGCTGGGTGTGGTGGCATGCATTGGCTGAGGTGGGAAGACTGCTTAAGCCCAGGAGGTCAAGGCTGCAGGAAGTCATGGTTGCACCACCGCACTCCAGCCTGGGTGACAGAGGAGACCCTGCTGCTAAAAACAAAACAAAACAAAAGCAAAAAAAACTTTAACAAGGAATAAAGATGTAACTAAATAGTCAATCATTAACAACTAGAAAGAAAACTATTAGGAGTGGGTGTTGGTTTTTGTACTAAGAACCATCCTTGTGATTCTCCACAGGACACAACCATTTCTAGATTATCAAGATGAACATATATATATATACACACACATATATATTATATATATGTATGTATGTTCTACATATATATGTTCTACATATATGTGTTTTACATACGTGTGTTCTACATGTGTGTTCTACATATGTGTTCTACATGTGTTCACACGTGTTCTACATAGTTGTGTGTTCTACACGTTTTCTATATATGTGTGTTCTACATACATGTGTTGTACATGTGTGTTCTACATATGTGTATTCTACATATTTATGTGTTCTACATATGTATGTGTTCTACATATTTATGTGTTCTATAAATATAAATGTTCTACATATATAGAGAACAGTTATATAGTTATATATATGTGGCCATCCTTAAAACACAGTGATGAGTTGTAGTTTGCATAGTACATTTGATGTATATATAAAAAATAGTTCTCGAGAACAAGAGATGCTTGGAAGTATTCTTCTCACTCAAAGAGTAGTAAAGAACTACTTTCTGCCTCTGAGGTTTTATTAGGCATTTCAGGTAAGAATACAAAGCCAAAGATACCAATATTTCTCCAGAATCAACCTGCCACCCAACCAGCTACCATGGCCAAAGAGCCCATCATTGGCAAGACAGAATTTCTGCGTTAGAGCAACTTTCTGTCTCACTTGATTTTACTATGGCATTTGACAGTCTCTTTTCAGGGTGTTTCTCAAATAAAGCCCTCTCCTGGTTTTCTTCCTACTCCTATTTCTTTTCAATTTTCTTCAATCATTTTTTTTCCTGCAAATTTTTTGTTTTATTTATTTATTATTTTTTTGAGACAGAGTCTCGCTCTGTCACCCAGGGTGGAGTGCAGTGGTGTGATCTTGGCTCACTGCAACCTCTGCCTCCCAAGTTCAAGTGATTCTCTCGTGCCTCAGCCTTCCGAATAGCTGGGATTACAGGTGGCTGCCACCACACCTGGCTAATTTTTATATTTTTAGTAGAGACGGGTTTCACCATGTTGCGCAGGCTGCTCTTGAACTCCTGATGTCAGGTGATCTACCCGACTCAGCCTCCCAAAGTGCTGGGATTATACGCATGAGCCACTGTGCTCAGCCTTTTTCATAAAACAATTTAAAATTTTGGTGTTTATGTGAAGGTGAGTCCTGAAGCCTCCTCTTATCCTCCACCTCATCCATTCCTGGGGGGCTATGTTCTTTTCAGCTACCACTTGCCAGCCCACTCTGTATCACCACCTCAGGCTTTTTTCTGAGGTCCTTGTCCACTATGCAGTACCAGCTTCTGGTCATCTCCACTCAGGTGATCCACGGGACACTACCATATTCAAAATAGAACTGCATTCTCCATCTACACTTTGATATAACCAGTCATCTGAATTAAAACTTTAAGAATCATTTAGGTCATTGGATATCCCCTTTTGTATATCTTGACTGTCTGCCTTAGGAGAAGGGGAGTTAATTCTTACTGGTTCCTAATCCATATCATCGGGGGAGTTTCTTGAGTCCTCTACACCTTATGCACAGAGTTTGAGTAAGTTCTCTAGGTGATTGCAATGTGCTCCCAAACTTGGTACATTAGATGCTTTATGTATGCTATCTCGACTAATCCCTACTGAAACCCTATGAAGCAGGTACTCTTAAACCCATTTACAGAAGGGAAAACCCAGCTTCACAAGTGTTGAGTATCTTAGCTAAGATCAACCGGCTACTAAGGGACTCACAGAGATTCAATGTTTATGAGTTTCCTGCCACTAACTCTCCATTCTCTTACCTAGTGGCTCCCACAGTTTAAACTGCATAAGTTGTAAGACAGTTTTTTTAAAATGTGGATTTCTGAGGCAAACCCATTGAAATTATGATCCTCTTGAATTAGATTGAAACCTAAGCACATGCACTTTAATAAGCACCCAGGGGATTCTCCAACAGGCATCCAGGTATACTCTTCAGAGAAAAAAAAATGGTTCCTTCATCAGCCATATTATTATTAACTTTTTCCATGAAGTACAAATAGAACTGTGTCCATATTCTTGTTGTTTAATGGCTCCCAGTTAGTTTCAAAATAATTCCTAAGCCTGGTGTGTGTGACCTTCACATGGTGGTCACAATCTTGTTTGTGTCTCCTATCCCTCCTTCCCTTCCATTCTGTGACAACATTGAGCCTTTTCACATCAGCAAATCTTGGCATATGCTGTGGCCCTTACTTGGAAGCCTGGAATTGTTTGAATCCAGTTGCCTGCTCTGTCATCCCCTAGAGTCAGCAGCTCCTTCCTGTGACTCCCTAGCACAAGGGACATCCCTCACTGTAGCATTTTTATGCCGAAGGGCTGTTGTTTCTTAACTCACTGATCTCTCACACATTCTTGATGGTAGAAACTGATCATCATTCCTCTTTGTATCTCTAGCATTAGCACAGTCTTCACACAAAGTAGACCTTTATTAAATATTGACAGATTGAAAAAATAGAAATCCCACCCATTGAACATTGACAGACGTTTAAAAAAAGCTAAAGACCTAAACATTCTGTGGCTATACATGAGCATTTTTCATACATGTTAATAAAATACATCATCACCTATCTCAATCTTTTGGCATTTCATAGACATACTTTTAGAGGAAAAAGGGATTTTGGAGGTCATCTTAGATGATCTCATAGTTTTACAGATGGGGAAATATAAACAAAGAAAAATTAAGTGGCTTTCTCAATTTTCCTCAGCAAATTGAGTGGAGATTTGAAAGCTTCTCCTCCCCTGGTCCAGTTTCCCCTTCTTACCCCAAACCACTTCCTTCTTCTTTTTCATCCTTTAACCTGGTTTAATATTTTTTTGAACACTCACTCGGTGTGGGGTACTACTGGGTCAGATATGCTATTTCCACACTGCATTTGTTCAATATTACTGACTCAGCACTTGAGCACATGACATACACTGGCACTGTGCCAGCTGCCAGAAATGCAAATATGAATGAGCCACAGTTCCTGACACAAACAAGCTTGCGTTCTAGAAGAGACGACAGTTTAGCGTGCAGCGATTAAGACATGGTGTCTCAAGTTTTGCATTACCAGCCTAACCAAATGGGCACCCCTGGACAGCAGCAAAAGACCTTGCCCTCCATTACATCTTTAGGATTAAACATGGAATAAGAAACTTGACAGTAATGTATACAAAGGACAAATGTCACTGCTGCCTTCTTCACCAAAGTTGTAATAGGGAGAAAAGGGTCAATCAGAAAAAGAATAACAAAGCACACCTCTGAGAAGCCTTGTCTTAACTCATCTCTCATGGAAATGCCAAAAAATAATTGCCCTCTGGAAGGGACCTTCTAACATCCCTTGATTCCCAAGACAGAATGAAAACTGAGGCCTCTGAAAACATAATTGCTAATGCCTGAACCTGGAAAGAGACACGGCAGATACAAAGCAACATAATCAACGTTTAATATTACATTTCCAGGCTAGATTGATTCACACATAAATTGAGTGTGTCTTATATTGTTCAAAATACCCCCCAATTCAACTTTCATTAATCTCGGACCAAAGTCCGAACTCAATACTCATTCATCTAGAAATATTTTGAGAGATCCATGACATTTGATGTTAATACTTCTAGAATCCTAGAGTGCCCTGTGCATAATATTCTTAATAGATTAAAACTAGGGCGGCAAAGTCCCTCACTTAGCAATGCCTTTTATTATTATACTTCATGTCCTGGGATACATGTGCAGAACGTGCAGGTTTGTTACATAGGTATACACGTGCCATGGTGGTTTGCCGCACCCATCAACCCGTCATCTACACTAGGTATTTCTCCTAATGATATCCCTCCCCTAGCCTCCCACCCCCTGACAGACCCCAGTGTGTGATGTTCCCCTCCCTGTGTCCATGTGTTCTCATTGTTCAACTCCCACTTATGAGTGAGAACATGTGGTGTTTGGTTTTCTGTTCATGTATTAGTTTGCTGAGAACGATAGTTTCCAGCTTCATCCATGTCCCTGCAAAGGACATGAACTCATCCCTTTTTATGGCTGCATAGTATTTCATGGTGTATATGTGCCACATTTTCTTTATCCAGTCTATCACTGATGGGCATGTGGGTTGGTTCCGAGTCTTTGCTATGGTGAACAGTGCTGCAATAAACATACATGGGCATGTGTCTTCATAGAATGATTTATAATGCTTTGGGTATATACCCAGTAATGGAATTGCTGGGTCAAATGATATTTCTGGTTCTAGATCCTTGAGGAATTGCCACACTGTCTTCCATAATGGTTGAACTAATTTACACTCCCACCAACAGTGTAAAAGCGTTCCTATTTCTCCGCATCCTCTCCAGCATCTGTTGTTTTCCTGACTTTTTAATGCTCACCATTCTATCTGGCGTGAGATAGTGTCTCATTGCGGTTTTGATTTGCATTTCTCTAATGACCAGTGCAATGCCTTTCAAAACATAACAATACAAAAGGAAAGACAACCAAACTCACAAAGAGCTTTTACATCAAGTGGCTCAGCTCAATATTATGGACTGAGCTAAAGTCTGAAGTGTTTCTAGTCCACATTTCTAATGGGAATTTTCAATGACTTTGTGATACTAATTGTGTAAAATAAGACTCTTACAAAAACTGCTTACATTACTGGAAAAACTAATACTTGACGTTCACTCGTAGATACCAAGTACTATATCAGAGGTCAGCTCTGGGCAGTGTGGTAACACCCAGGACAGGTACCTCACAGGGAACAAGGTGAACGGAGCACATCTCCTGCAGGAGGGGTTGCCTCAGGTGAAACCCAAGAGAGAGAGACAAGGAAGAAGGCTGTGCCCAGCGGAGAAAGCAATAGACATGAAGGCATGGAGGCTGGGAGAGCTTGGTGCTTTTAGGGCCCAGGAAAACATATGGAATGACCACAGCTGAGCGTGGAAGTTGCTAAAAGAGGGGTTGTCAAAAGATGGAGCTGTTCAGGCAGCAGGGGACTTGACTGTCAGGAGTAGCAGAACTTTGCACATAAGAAAGCAGAGGATCCTGCAGGATCTCAGAGTTAACCCCTATTTAATGTACAGAAACAATCTCCCAACCCAAGGCTTCAGATGAATTTGGGCTATAAGAAAATGCAGTGCAAGGATTTACATCTTAAAGGCTTGCAAAATTCAGAAACATATTTTTTTTCTTTTTTTGAGGAGTGAAATCAGTGGAGAAGTTTCAACAGTCAGCAATGCATTCGCTGGAAAGGTCTCTGTCTTCTGGGCAACGCCTCTGGTGGGTCCTTAGGGAACCACTTTGAGACCTCAGGACCACGGTCTCCCAGAGGATGAGGGCAGGAGTGTACCAGGGACTGGTTACGGGAAAGTTTCTTTTTCTAAAAACAACATTTTAAAAGGTACCATTTTTACCATTTTTAAGTGTAAGGTTCAATGGTAATAAACCCATTTATATCCTTTTCCCTACTTTGTCCACTCTCTCCTTCCTGGCCTCTAGTAACCACCAATCTACTGCATATCCTCATGAGATCCACAATTTTAGTTCCCACATATGAGTGAGAACATACGATATTTGTCTCCCTGTGGTTGGCTTATTTAACATAATGACCTCCAGTTCCATCCATGTTGCAGGAAATTACAGGATTTCATTCTTTTTATGGCTGAATAATATTCCATTGCATATATATATATACCACATTTACTTTATTTACCCATCCATTGATGAGAACTTAGGTTGATTGCATATCTTCGCTACTGTGAATAGTGCTGCAATACACATGGGCATGCAGATAACTCTTTGATATATTGATTCCCTTTCTTTTCGACATATACCCAGTAGTGGAATTGCTGAATCAGATGGTAGAGAACTATATGTTTTTAGTTTCCTGAGGAACTTCCATACTGTTCTCCATAGTGACTGTACTAATCTACACTCCCACCAACAGAATATGAGGAAAAAGTTTCAAGGTGGGGAAATCCAGAGAGAAGCCCAGTGTTACCACCTGGGATACAGTATTGTATGGGCAAGCTTTGTGAGGGGCTACAGTGATTCATAATCAACCTGTCTTCCTGGGGCTCATTTCTGGGATGTAAGATACTTCATCTACTCTCATAAAACCTGAATCTACACCCAGTATACATTTCCATCACATCCCAGCAGGTTCAGGAAATAAAGGTGGGTATGCATCAACAACTGAAGTTTAATGATTGAAGATGCTCATATTATAAGGACAAAATAAAAGAAAAACACTGAGACAGAGACTGATAGCAAGATGTGTGCTACAGGAAACGCCGTGATATGAGCTTCCCTGGGCCATGGAGGCATGCAGCGTGTTGGACAACGTAGCAGACATCGTGGCATCCCTCTGCCCTTTGGTAGGCAGCCCTCATCGCAGCAGCCCTGACTTGGCCCTGGGAGCATAAAAATCAGGTCAGCCCATCAAAGCTGGATTTAAACAGAAAGGAATCAGAATATGCCACCCCAAAATATGCCACTTTGGCATACAGACTATTTTGAGATGAAAAAAACCTTCTTGGAACCTCCCTTATCTGACTAAGAGCAGAAACTTCTGAGAAACGAGGACTGCCATGAATCCTTTTTCCCAGGGGACTTTCATGGCCATGAACAGTACAGAAAGTTGGCAGCAAGATGGGGCCGTAGAAACAAACTTTACTAAATCACCCTTATCTTCCATTAGTTCCTCACATTTATTTTTCCACAATTTACTTCCTCTAGAAGCTCAAAACTCTTTTTCTTTGTCTTGTTATTTCTCCGCAAATTTGCATCCCTATTTCTTCTATGTATGCAAAGGACATGACCTGCCCTTTTGTAAAATTAGTGTCCAAGTGTTTGGGTCTGACCACCTCTCTACAGTTTTTATTTTATTTCTGTGAGACCCCATCCACATGCATATGAAATAAACCTTTTTCTCCTGTTATCCTATTTTTTTGTCAGTTCAATATTCAGGGCTGCTGCCACTGAAACCAAGAGGTCAAGGAAAGAGTTTTTCCTTCCTAATGGAACTCAGCTTGACCCCTTACTAGGGTAGATTATTTAATAATGTTTAAACTTATTTCATCTGTAAAATTAGTATCACAATATCTGCCTTAGTATAAGAATCAATAACACTGGATCCTTTTAGTGGCTGGTATATTATAGATACACAATAAGTGATAGCTGTCATAACACCAAATAATATCCAAAAACTGGTCATCTGTCATGAACCACAGTCCACACCATTTGGAGATGTAGTTCTAGATCCTTTTGTAGTAAGAACGGACTACCAAGATCTGCCTGGAGACTAAATAATGTGAAAATCAAGTCAAAATACGATAGTTGACTCTAACTTCAGTTACTAGTAAATAGCATCACTGAGAATTGCGTGGTAAAAATAAGAAAGCATCTGCATAGATGCTACATCTAGCCAAATGATTGAATATCTCAGACTGCAATATTTCTAAAAGAGTGCTCAGAATAAAGTACTTCATTTATAATAAGGGACAGCCCTGATTCATCTTATAGAGTAAATGTTACAATTATTGAAGCAAAGAGCTCACAGTGAAAGCTCACCTTATATATGCACAAATAATCAATTTTCAATGTTCTATGAAGGTAAAACATTAATAACTGCCTATGAAAATTTCCCACAAATTGATATTTCTAATATGATGAAAAAGAAAGGCTCCAAAATCTAATTATATCTCTCTGATAAATTAGATGTGCTCTGTGAGTGATGTTATTTATTTTGTTACTAATACAATAATTATTTGGATTACTGTATTGGTCTCATATGCTGATGTTTTACTGAATCCTCTATCAAACCATATTTCTCCTATGTATGCAGAGGACACGAATAGGCACGCCACAGGTGAAGAAGTAAACATGTCTCAAAAACATGTGAAAAGATTTTCAACACTCCTCAGAATTTTTAAAAATACATTTTTTTCTTTTATCAGACTGGCAAAGATAAAGAATTTGATAATTTGTGATGTTGACAATCGTGGGGGAAAACAAATAATCATAACATTAATGATACAGACTCTTTGGAATCCAACTTGTACTATCTGTCTATCCACAATTAAACCACATCTACCCTTTCACCTAGCAATTCCATTTCTAGGAATTTAAAGATATTCTACTACCTAGGCTAAACGTGTTCCAGGATCGATAAAGATCTCCATTGTGGCACTGGTCATTACGCTAACAACAAAATCCCCAAGGAACCTAAATGTCTTTCAAATCAACAAAGGACTAGTTGAATTATTTATATCATATTCATACAATGAGTGCCATGCAGCCATGGATCTATCTGTCTTAATACGTAAAGGCGTGGAAAAAAATCGTTCATGGTACATCATGTCTATATGCTCCCATCTGTGAGAAAAAAGGGACTGATACATAAACATGCACAATACAAATATCCACATATAAAATCATATTTCTGGGAAGATATATAAGAAAGTGTTAGCAGTGTTTGCATCTGGGCAAGGGGACACAGGGCCTGCATTTCATTGTAAAACTGAATTGTTGACATTATTATCATCTGTATATATTAGTTTTTCTATTGCATACATAGTTACTTGTTTTAAAAGGCAAGGATGTAATGAAATAACTTGGAAATATGGATGTAATAAAACAAGCAAAGTTAAATGAGGTAAATCTAAGATGATGAGTTTTGTAGATTAACCTGGAAGGCAGGGATCTCTGACCTATACGTTTCTCTGTTTTGGTCAAACAAGTTACACACTATCATCCATTTATTTTTTTATAAAACTCTGTAGAATATGTACTAGTATGATCACCATCATTCTACGCTCAAATCAAGGCTGCTTAAATGACCAAGTTTGCACAGTAGGTAGACGAGCTGAGATGCAAATCAGGTCTCCTGGATGTAGAGCCTGAGTGAGCTCTTGGGCATGTCTCACACACTTCACCTTGACCTCTGCTGCCCAGCGAGGGCCAGGCCACTGAAGCTTCTCAATGGCTTGTGATGGCTCTGAGAATTGCAAGGTAAATATAAGAAAGCATCTGCATAATACTTTCTATTTTCTCTTCTATTTTCATAGAAGTATAAACCTCATGAGGCAGTAGATTGTATTTTAAAGATGACATTTCTCACATTGGATGCTATTGGCCTTTGAGAGTGTGGCTCAAAAAATAGGCAAATCGGCCAGGTGTGATGGCTCACACCTGTAATCCCAGCACTTTGGGAGGTCAAGGCGGATGGATCATCTGAGGTCAGGAGTTTGAGACCAGCCTGGCCAACGTGGTGAAACCCCGTCTCTACTAAAAATACAAAAATTAGCTGGGTATGGTGGTGGGTGCCTGTAATCCCAGATACTCAGTAGGCTGAGGCCGAAGAATTGCTTGAACCTGGGAGGCAGAGGTTGCAGTGAGCCAAGACCATGCCATTGCACTCCAGCCAGGGCAACGAGAGCAAAACACCGTCTCAAATAAATAAATAAGCAAGCAAATCATATAATACCTCACTTTGTAAAGCACTTTGCAGTCTTCTACACATGAATTATCTTATTTCTGTCTCACAGCAGCATGGAAGAAAACTTCTCATCAGTTTATAAATGGGAGTACGGAGGCTGAGTTTAGATGACTTCCTCAGCTTGAAGGGACAACAGGAAACCTATCCTAGGTCATCTGAACTTACCTAAGTTTCATGTTGCAAACATATCGCTGCATCCAGGGTGAGTAATATCTGAAAACTGCTTTGGATTTGTCGTTCACGTTGGTTTGCAGAATCTTTTATTGCTTGCTACCATGGCTTTTAGACTCACAGTTCAAAGTTTCCCCTCTGAAGCATAAACCCATTCTGAAATGCTGCATTCCAACCTTGCAACCTGTTCTAAATGTCTAAATTCTATGGTTTTGGAAGCTGAGGTCCTATGAGTTCTTTAACAGATTTTTCTGTTGAAAATTTTTTGTCAGTATAGTCTTTGTGACCATGGCAATTACTTTAACTGGAAGTTCTGATTAGGAAAATTTCTAATTACAGGTCTATAACCAAAATATAAGAATACCCATCAGACACATCAACTCCAGTTTTCTCTTTATTTTTCTTCCCACTCCACTCCCTCCATCAATGTTCCTATTGCCTCAGGTTCAGGTTGGGCTCTTAGCTGTTACTATGAGAATGATTACACATAGGGCCTCTTCCTGACAAGGCAGCTGAAACAGGTTGTCTGTGGAAAACACAGCTATACTTTCTGTTTTCAACACTACTCATGATTATCAGATATGATTGTGCCCATAAGGGTTCAATGAACTTTTTGAAAAATACATATCACATTCAAATTATCTCTTTGGAGAACAAACCTGGTGGCAGGAAATGTCAACATCATTAATCATATATTAAGTTTCATTAAAATCAAAACTTTGAAATAATTAGCTTCTGCTGCTTCTCAGAGTGGTAATTATAGACCATCAGGGAGTGTCACACACTTTCGGATTTCCTCCTTTAAATATTAAATGCTAAAGATGAAACATTATTTTTAACATAATTTTTTAAACTTTAGCTGTGGAATGTAAACAATACTTTCTGGATATGGGGCTAATCAAATCCCATAGTTCAGGAAATCTGAATCTTACTGGATTCAATGGTGAAATGAAAATACTAATACATGCCATCTTATAGGAGAGTAGAGTTCAGAAGCATAAAAATATCTGTATTTAAATGTGTTTGGAGACTTCTCTTTTCCTTCACTTAAAATCAAGCTATCTCCCATTTCCAGTTATTATTAACAGTTTATTCAATGCTAGTTAGAAAAAAAGTATAGCATCAGACTATTCTATTTATTTTAACAACTCCCTTGCAAGTTTCTTTTTCTAACTCATTTCTACATGATAGTCTTTACATATATAATGTATAAACTATTGTATCTTCTCTCATAATTCTCGGTTTGATCTAAGGCATATTCTACTATGGAGGAATAATAAAGTAATGTAATAATACATATTATCTCAATGAACACTATTCTTTAATTTATACTTGTATTTTCATGGAAACTATCACCCACTTAAAAAAAGGTATCCGCTCAGCCAGGTGTGAGAGACAGCATGGGGCACAGAGAGAGACAGATAGATGTGTTCCTTGTTCTCAGGGAACTTTTGATCTATTCAGGGAAACAAACAAACAAACAAACAGAAATGCTGATAATGCCAATAAAAGACCAAAGTTCCCATTACAGGAATGGACTTTTATTTGGAGAAAGGGGGCAAAAAAGTGAAGAATCAAAGAGGGATGAGTTTCTTCAGCTCAGGACTCAGAGAATGCAGATGACCTTTGAAGGCATAGAGGCTCAAAAGGGAAAGTGACATGTAGTGTTCATTTCTCTTCATTACAAAGTTTTCCCACTCCTCTGCCAGCCCTTGAGTCTCTGCCAAAATGCAAGTGATGGTGGCTGAGTCTCTTGCTATACAAGCTCAGAATAAATAGCCTTTGCTTTTCTCATGGGGTTGGCCTTCATTTATTTCCACTGGATTCAGTGTGTTGACAGAGGGGCTAGTTTTAGAAAAGGAAAGGAACATCTCTTCCTCTGAGATAAAAATCGAAGGAGGGAAGGACGAATGAAGTCACTTGGGGGATTCTGAGTTGGAAAGAAAGCTGAAGGAGTTACATCAGGTGGACGCCATCTTCTCAACCAAAGCAATCTCTAAACAGAGGCCCAGGGAAGGGAAGGGGAGGGAAGTGGAAGGGATTTACAACTGGAAAAGAGAGGGAGCCAGTAAGAAATGGATCAAATGACTCACTTATGTTTAACATCATTAATTAAACATAAATGCTTCTCTCTCCTCTTAGAGCTTAGAAAATTCCAGAAGAAATAGATACTGGCACTGATAAAAGGGAAAATACTTCAGAATATTATATAGGCGATAGGCTCACTATCAGCTCAAATGGGGAAACTAGGAGAGGACATAAAATAAAAGGCTCTAGAGACAGTTTTTGTCTTTATTCTACTTTTCATCGCTATTTTTCATTTAGTGCCCTGGAAATCCATTTGTAGTATCAAGGGCTCTAGGCTTTTACATTCTTCAGAGTTCCTCTGGGTTAGGAAGAATAAGTTAGACTACCTTCTTTTTCTTTTTTTAGGCAGTCAGAAGAGTGCTCAGATATCAAATAAGGAGCCAAAACCAAATGGGATCTTCCAAATTTGGGAGCAACACTGTAATTTAAAAACATAGTTGGGTTTGTCAATACAAAGCAAAATAGATCAAAGTTAATGTAGATAAGGGGAAAATTTATAGTTTAAGAAAAGGGTGAAAAATGATAATAAGCTCTTCCCCATTTTGGAGCAAAGTAAGATGAAAGTAAAAAAAAAAACAAAACTGCAAACACCTGCAATAAACTTCTGCCCCTTAATAAGAAGAATAATAGTGGATATTTATTGAAAATTTATTATATGACAGATGCTATTGTATCAAAGGTACTCACATTAACATATTTAGTCTTTACAGAAGCCTTTCACACAAGACCCAATACTTGTCTGCAATATACAGATGAAAAGAAAACAAGGCACAGTAAAATCAAGAAACTTCCCCAAGATTGCAAAGCTCCTAAGTATAGCCAGATTCAAACCCAGGTAATCTGGCCCTATAGTCCACATGCTTATGTCTGGAATACGAAGAAATGAAGGGAGAGGAAGAGGGAAGGAGGGAGGGAGAAGTACTATTCATTCAGTGCTGAACAATTCTTTAGTACCATACAATTGTTCATTACTGCAGCTTAAGAACGTTTCCTGCGGTATCATTGTGTCTATCAACAATACCCTTGGACGACAATATAAGGACACCCATAGAACTTAGATTCTGGTCTTTAATAGAAGTCTTCATGAAAAGGAACCAGGGCTCATTTGAAAGTAGACAATACCATGTCTCAAAGCTAGCTAATTTAAAATAGCACTAGAAAAGCTTGCTGTTGCCAAAAAGCAAGGCTGCTCTTAGAGATACCTGCAATAGTGTCAAAAAGTACAAAAGGTGGCTCTCACTGGCCAAGTAGTGACAATTTGGGCATTAAAAGGGAAAACAATGATTAAAGTCCACTGGAGCAAGCTGAGTCTGTTAAGACCACTCTAAGGTCATGATACTAAACAGGAAAGTGACAAAATACTAGGAGGTAATTGTCAACACATAAAGTGGTCTCTCAATAGTGTCTTCTAGGAATGTCATATATTGATGAACCAAATTTTGTGTGTACTATGCTGAAGCGGCAGCTGAGTTATTGATATAAATCTAGATGTCTGTAGATATTTTTTAAGCAATGATAGGTCAGAGGAAGAGATTCAGCAAATAAAGTATGTGAAAAATATAAAGTAGTCAGCTTTTTAATAGAGAAACTTGAAAATTTAGAAAGGATGTATAAAAAGTCTGTGTGAAGGGGTGGTATATTACAAAGTGAATTTGGCCCTTGCTATACTTTCTGTGACCAGACTTTGGTGATCTAGGACACTCCTTATTGGAGAACTGCTGTGGAAACTTATACATTGGTTACCCAGCCTATAATATTACATGGGACCCCTTTTGTACAGACCCAAATCTATTCAATTTAGGATGAAAGAAAATTTCTGGATTCAGGAATAATGGGGATTAGATAGGTTAGAGATAGAGACTGAGACATAGAGATACAGATAGATAGACTGAGTTGTTCCGTTTCCTTCATACTTCAGACTAAGTGAGCAAACTAAAATGAATGTGAAGATATGTGGGCAAGAGTGAGCCAGCCTAGACCGGTAGCCACCCAGGCACGGGGGCTGATTCAGGAAGATGAGAGGCAAGTGTGAGGAGGTCTTGAACAGAGGCTGCCATAACTACCTAGATAAAATAGGTGACACATGCTTATCAATATGATTATATGGCAATGTTAGCCCACCCAAGACAGTATGTTTACTCAGCTTGCTTAACGATACTTTGCAGAAATTAATTTCCATATTGTCATGAGGATTGGGCCTGAAGTCAGGGAGGAGAAGGATGCTGACTGGTTCTGTGTGTATTTATCAGGGAGGAATAGCAACAAAAGTCCCTCTTCTAGTGAGTGTCTAATAGTGTCTCTAATAAGTGGTGGAGTAGCAACTGAAAATGACTGACGTAGGATAGCTCTGTGTGGGCGGAAGGGAAGATGGAAGTAGCTATATATACAAAATGAAGACCTCTCCTCTGAAAGGGTGGGTGTTCATGTGAGAGCAGGTGTTCTGCAATTGAGCAGCACCTGGAGCTCAGCTCCAATGTCTCTGCTGGTCCCTGAGGACATGATGTGTGGGAAACTTCACCGTGTGTGGCTACCTCTCACAAGAATGAGGTACGAGGATGATCAGGGGCACTAGCGAATTGCAAAATAGCCAAGTCACAGGATGCATGCAACCTAAACTAGCAGTTTGAACTTTCCTTACCTGTCAGTGATGTCCCAGGCCTACTGACATGTAGGTTACTAGCAGAAAGTAGAAAATGTCTTTCACCCCCTCAGGTAACCAAAGTGACGTGGAGATTTAAAGTTATAAGGACCAAATAAATCATTTAAAACATATTGGGAAATGGTGGAAGTGCCCAGAAATCCAATACAAAGAGACAAAAAAAAAAAGGTCATTTACTGGCAAAGATCTTATTTTTGGGGCATTACAACTGAGGCTCATTAAAAGACATTTGGAAAATAAGTTTAGAGCCTTTGATATTTTGTAGATTTGTGAGGGAAATTATGATAAAATTATCCACTATCAGTACAGTAATCTAGCAGCAAAATAATACAAAGGGGGGAAGAAATAAAACAAGACAAAAAATCATAAGGATTTTTTTATAGGAGACATACTTTTTTAGAGAGGCATATGAAAGTTGGAAAAACATTGAGTGGGCAGAATGAATCAGAATGGGAATCTTATTAGAGGATAGAGAGGCTAGTTAGCAGAAATAAGATGAATTAAAGTACTATATTTAAGAAAGAGTACACCAGATGAAGAGGTCTTGGGGAGAGACTGTCAAAACTGTGATGAGATGCTGACAGACTGTAAATGTTGATATTCTTTCAACTTTCAGAAGTGAGGAGCGCTACACACACAGAGGGAGTTTAACGATAAAGTAATAAGATCTCAGCAAAGGTTGAACTGCGTAAGCAGCACTTTATGATAGTGACAACACACGGAGAAAAGCAGAAAGATAACACATTGGACTTCAGAACAAAGTAATTGGAAACTGAGCATCATGGGGTAGAGTTAGCGCCACTTTCAGGTAAAGTCTGGGAAGAAGTCCAGGGAGGTTAGCTCCAGGAAAGGGATGAAGTCATGAGAGGAAGGACTGGAATTTTCTAGAGAAACATTTAAGTTGAGACTGGCATGCTCGAGCTTCTGCAGACCAGTGGATTTTCCTACTGGTCTGTGTCAGCACCAGTATATTCAATGGTGCTTCTCCAAAAAGCCCTCACCTCTTTTACCAGGGACATGACTGCCTGGAGGAATGTAGAACTGAACAACAGTGGGACCCACTCTCCTGCAGACTTATGAGGGCCTGGACCAATGGCTGAGGCTGCCCTGAGGACAAGGATGGGTAAAACCAGGAGTCAACCAGTTTAAGAATTGGCTGCCAGATCGAGGCAAAAAAAAAAATTCAAAAAAAAAAAAATTCAAGTGAGACTTCAAGATGCTGCAGGAAGCATGGTGGTATGCTAGTCATGATCTGGCAAATAGATGGGAGGAAAATTAAGACAGAAGGGGTTGATAGAGGAGGAGGTTCAGGGAGGTAAGAGACTGAATAAACAAATGGACAATGGCCAAATCATATATGAAGGCTGTACAATCTGTAGCCTCCTGCCCAGGAAACTAACCCCTTATCTGCAATAACCAGCCCAGGAAGACAGTCTGCTGTAAGTTAGACTTGTAGGAAATCAGATTGCTATCTCTAGTAACAATCCAGGAAGCTAAACAATAATTTCTATAACAATCGGCCCCAAATGGCCGGGACTTGATTAATGACCAACAGCTTCCTTAATTTTTGTTGCTATTTCCAATTCAGGATCAACCAGAAAAAGTCAAATATGACCCTCTAACCAATTACATAGGATGTCACTTCTCGTTATCGCACCTACAGCCTACCGAAGCCAATAGCCTCTAATCAGAGCACACCTAGAGCCTTCTTTCTTCCACTGTGAAGCTTTCCCATTTCTCTGTCTGCCTTTGAGTCTCTGCAAAACACAGTTGATGGTGGGTGACTCCCTTGTGGCAGCAAGCTCTAACTAAATAGCCTCTGCTCTCATGTGATTGGTCTTTGTATATTTCCATAGAACCAAAGACTAAAATCATGATAGATTCGAGATAAGTGAAGACGTGGGAGGAAAAGGAAGTAGGTTGTGAATAGAGAAGAGGAATTTCTAGACTCTTTGGAGGAACAAGGAGATAATTAACATTTGCATATTATTTATTATGAGTTTCCTGATGCTTTGGCATGGGTTTATACAATTTACTGAATCCTCATAAACTTTGTGACACAGATTTTTTTAATCTATGATTTTTAAGGAAAACGAAATTAAAAGAGCTTTCATAACCCATTAAGGGTGAAGAGGTGTCCCACACCGAATTTATTCATTTCACTATGTCAGGCCACTCTCCCAGACCCTCTCTGACATCCCCATTTTATTAGTCCGTTTTGACACTGCTGACAAAGACATACCTGAAACTGGGAACAAAAAAGGGTATAATTGGACTTACAGTTCCACAGGGCTGAGGAGGCCTCAGAATCGTGGCGGGAGATGAAACGCTCTTCTTACATGGCAGTGGCAAGAGAAAATGAGAGAGAAGCAAAAACAGAAACTCCTGATAAACCCATCAGATCTCGTGAGACTTATTCCCTATCACGAGAATAGCACTGGAAAGATGGCCCCCATGATTCAATTACCTCCTCCTGGGTCCTTCCCACAACACGTGGGAATTCCGGGAGATACAATACAAGTTGAGATTTGAATGGGGCACAGCCAAACCATATCACCCACTGCAGTTGTGACCATGGTAAATTGCCACAATCGTCTCATGACTCTACTGTAACTCCTTGTGCAGTCTCTTGGTGCTCTGCCGATAGGGGATGAATGAAATAATTCAATTCATATCTTCCCCAAGCTTACAGTTAGTAAGTAGTAGAATGTAGATTTAAATTCAGATCTTCCTAATTTCAAAGTCCGTGGTTGTTAACTGCGTTAGGCTAGCTTGGAAATGGAGTTGCTTGCTGGCAGGTAGGTGTGAGGGTGAAGTGGATATTAAATGTATTGATTTGAAGTGCTTAAAAAATGGCAAGGCTAGAGTATTGGGAAGTAAATTCTTAAGTTGCTAAAAACATTGGCAAGGGATGAGATGGATGGGTGGAGGTCTGTTAGCCAGGCACAAAAGGCTCACTCCCCAGGAAATGATTGAGGAACTCCAGAAACGTTGCATCCACCTGGAGTACCCTCTGTTGGCAGAATATGACTTTCAGAAGGATTCTGTCAACCTTGATATCAACACTGACCTAAAGCCCACAGGTGTCCTCAGACCCTATCAGGAGAAGAGCTTGTGGAAGATCAAATCAAATTCAAATGAGAATAATCCAGAAAAGGTGGTGAAACAACAGGTTGGAAACTGGATTAGGGTATAAGGAAATGCAGCAACCCTACCTCCTCATCCTGTGCATTGGAGAGAAGGGCAAAAGCAGAAACTTCCTGGGGGTGAAGTTAGGGGAAGCAAGATACCAGTTCCAGGACAGACACACAAGAAGTGTATGTTGTAATGTCTGAGAATGCAGAACAGAAACACAGGGCACAGGGCAAGAAGCTGCAGAGGAAAGACCTAGAGGTGATGTATGTTTCAGAAAAGATCTCCCCCCCCCCCATATATACAACCATATATCATATTTATATCACATATATATGATATATGTTATCTAGTAACCAGGGTAGTGAGTCCAACCACCCAAAGGAAAGGAGAATGCCTAGTAGCTAGAATAATATTTTCCAGATGGTGGGAGAAGTAGAATTAAGTCATTAGAATTTAGTTACTGATAGAAGAAATAGCCAGACCCTAATTCCAGTTGCATGAATTAAAAATAAAAATTAAAGCAAATTTTAGCTTCCTCCAAGTGAAAAAAAAATGACCTTTTGTTGTTGAAAATGACCAATACCTGATAATGTGCACTGAAATGAGCAGGTATTTTGTCTTAAGGAAACTGCTACGGTTTGACCTCTATGAAATTGCCTTCTAGGTGTTCGAGTTTGCATTTAAAATACACAGCACTCTTCACTTTAAGGTGAGGAGAGAGAGAAGCAGTGTGTTCTCACTCTGTAAATATGAGTCATGGGCCCCTTGTCTATGTATATTTGACAAGTAACAGCATTAGCAAAAGATGACAGTAATCTACTGTTCTTCCATTGCTTTCATTACAGTAATCACAAAACAATTTTTCATCCAAATCCAGTCTGAGAAGTAAATATATTTATGAAATACCTTTTTTTATTTCCAGCTTTTAAGTTCAGGGGTACAAGTGCAGGATGTGCAGGTTTGTTACATAGGGAAATGTGGGTGATGGTGGTTTGCTGCAGAGATCATCCCATCACCCAAGTAAATATTAAGCCCAGCATCCATCAGCTATTCTTCCTGATGCTCTCCGTCCTCCCACCCCTGACTCTCCAACAGGCCCTAGGGTGTGTTGTTCCCCACCATGTGTCCATGTGTTCTCATCATTTAGCTCCCACTTATAAGTCAGAACATGCAGTATTTGGTTTTCTGCTCCTGCATTAGCTTGCTAAGGATAATGGCTTTCAATTCCATTCATGTCCCTGCAAAGGACGTGATCTTGTTCCTTTTTATGGCTACATAATATTATGGAATACCTTTCTAACATGAAGGAAGAAAATCTAAAATGTGTTTTGATTTCTTTCTTTTATGCTTTGCTCTGTATGTAATACCTGTTGCCTGGTAACTAGACTATAAGGTACCATGGGTTAAACATAAATGCCAATTGTCTTTTCAGAACATTTCCTGCAACAGAACATTCAACCTCAAAGCAAAATATCCAGGATAAAACTCACATACACATTACCAGGTTGTTGTTTATTTTAAGCTAGGAAAGTTGGGGGGTGGTCTTAGGCTAATGCTTTCCACTGGGAAATATAACAATTTAAATTTATTATAAGCTCTAATTCATAATTACTGTTGTAATTTAGTGGCCTCACTTCAGCTTTGCAGCAATACATATATAAAAATAGACCTCTTATCTATCTGCCTGCTTTTGGTACTTTTCTTCACCCTCCCCGAACCTGAAAAAATGGTAGCAGCTCAAAGAAGAGTTTGATGAGGAGATTTCTGGGGTTGAGACTACACTGTGATGTCTCTGCCAGTCAGCAAGGCCCCCAGGAAATGCTACTTAATGTAACTGAAGAGACATAATGCATACATAAACCTGTAAAGCTATTGTAGTTTCTAGATTAAAAACAAACTGTGTGCTAAACTGGGACAGGTCGAGGAGCCCTGTGTCTTCTCATCGACACACTTACTTCTTCAATCCCTAACGTTAAGTTGGAATTTTCCCTGAGACGTGTATTTTTTAACTTACATTTGATGGAACAACTAGCACAGCGTTCTTTGTCCATTGGGGCACTCCTTTTTACAGGCTCATCATGAACACCCAAAACAAACCTCATATACAGTGGTCTCCAGAAATGCTGACTGTTAGAAAAATTTTTTTGTTCCCACCAGCCTGTAGAGAATATGACCAGATTGTAAAGTGAATTCAATCATTACTCATTACTTGCCCTAAAAGTAAGAGTACTAGTGGACAGACTCACACCTCAGCTTAAGCTAAGGGGAGCCTGGATGACTACGTGTGTTTATGTATTCTCTTCTCCATTGTTCAAGGCCCTCTTTGGATTTCTTGCCCGCCCCCTAAAAGAGAATTTTTGTTTGTTACCTCTTACCGACATTTATTTTGGCAATTTTTTTCTGAGAGTCCATCCTCATCCTCTCCCATGATGTCCACGGCTGAAAAGATCAGTGCAACCAGAATGGCAAAGCAGCACACCAGGGCAAAGATCACGATGCACTTCTGCTGGGACTGAAAGAGGAAACAAAGACAAAGAAAAGTAAGTGGTGCTGCTTTCTCTTGGGAAACTCAAGAAGTGACAACTTCTCAACATTCCATGAAAAATGGGTGGGGATACGATTATCACTGCCTAGAAGGGAAATCTATTCTCTAGTGAACATGCCAAAGATCTTTATGCTTATTTCTCAACACAGCCTTCAAACCCCACTCTAAGTGATAGACCCTGTTAAATAATTCAAGTGTAGTATCCAGGCTTCTGAATGAGTTTGCTCTTCTTCTTCTTCCTACTCAAAAGCAGTCCAGAAAAGATCACTAGATATCTATTGTTTCAAATTAAAAATGAAACACATATGCTAGCATCATGCTGTCAATAAAAACAGTCAGACTCTGTAAAACATTTGAAGATATTTATTCTAAGTCAAATGTGAGTGACCAATGGCCCATGACAGAACCCTCAGGAGATCCTGAGACCATGTGCCCAAGGTGGTTGGGCCATAACTTGGTTTTATACATTTTAGGGAGACATAAAACATCAATCAATAGGCCGGGCGCGGTGGCTCATGCCTGTAATCCTAGCACTTTGGGAGGCCAAGGCGGGCAGATCATGAGGTCAGGAGATCAAGACCGTCCTGGCTAACACGGTGAAACCCTGTCTCTACTAAAAATACAAAAAATTAGCTGGGCGTGGTGGCAGGCGCCTGTAATCCCAGCTACTCTGGAGGCTGAGGCAGGAGAATGGCTTGAACCTGGGAGGCGGAGCTTGCAGTGAGCCAAGATCGCACCACTGCACTCCAGCCTGGGTGACAGAGCGAGACTCCATCTCAAACAAACAAACAAACAAAAAACATCAGTCAATACATGTAAAATGTACATTTGTTCAGTCCTGAAAGGCAGGACAGCTGGAAGTGGGGGCTTCCAGGTCATAGGTGGAGTCAAAGATTTTCTGATTGGCAATTGGTTGAAAGAGTTATTATCAAAAGCAAGGAATGTCTGAGTTACTATAAGGGGTTGTAGAGACCAAGGATTTATCACGCAGATGACGCTTCTAGGTAGCGGGCTTCAGAGAGAATAGATTGTAAATGTTTCTTATCAGACTTAGAGTCTGTTCTATCAGCAATTCCAAAAGGGAGGAGGGCACAAATTAGGCAAGTCCAGCTCCCACTTCTCATCATGGCCTGAACTAGTTTTTCAGGTTACCTTCGGAATATGCCTAGCTGAGAAGAGGATTCCATTTAGATGGATGGGTTGTTTCGAATTTTATTTTTGGTTTACAACGTGTTATTTAACTGACATTGTTCATTTTAAAATCTGAACATAAACATAACTCTTGATATGATTTTCACTTAGAAATACCAGCTGAATGTCCAGGTGGTCAAAGTCACTCACATACATATCATTAGGCCCCAGTATGATAATCTGAGCCATCTCTCTCTCTAGGGGCTCATGGCTAAAAGTGGCAGAAGACAGGGCCATGATAACTGGGAAGGAGCTGTGACCACTGTGACAAATCATTTTGACTGCTACAGTCTGAATATTTGTGTACACCCAAAATTCACATGTTGAAACCTTAACCTCCAAGGTGATGATATTAGTAGATGGGGACTTTTGGGAGCTGATTAGGTCACGAAGACAGAGTTTTGCCCTCATGAATGAGTCTCAGAGATGGGCATGGTGACATGCACCTATAGTCCCAGCTAGTAAGGAGGCTGGGGTTGGAAGACTGCTTGATTCCAGGGTTTTGAGGCTGCAGTGCACTATGACTGTGCCTGTGAATAGCCACTACACTCCAGTGTGGGCATCATAGTGAGACTTTGTCTCTAAAAGAAAAAAAAAGGCCTTAAAGAGCTCCCTTGCCCCTTCTATCATGTGGGAATACAGCAAGATGGCACCATAGATGAAAAAGGAAATGGGCCCTCACCAGATGCCAAATCTACCAGCATCTTGATCTTGGATTTCCCAGCCTCCAAAACTGTGAGAAATAAGTTTCTGTTGTATATAAGCTACCGAGTTTATGATATTTTGTTATGGTAGCCCAAAAAGACCAAGATAAATTAGATAAATTCTGGATGGAGAAAGGAGGAAAAGCAATTTTAAAAGTCTATGTACAGCTTTTAAGGGTTATTTACAGAGGTGAAAGGGTCATCTTTGGTCAGGCAGCCAGGCATACATCACTCTGTTAGTGATAAATATATGTATACACACGTACACACACACACACACACACACACACACACACACACACACACAGTTCAGAGCCTTTCTGAAACCAGCTGACTTTGCATCCTCTTACCACCCGGCTTCACTTTATCACCAAAGCCACATGATTTCCTAAGAATCCAAGGAAACTCCCAAACTCAGAGTCCAGGTCATCGAGAGGTATCCTTAAATGACAGATTGTAGTTAGAAAGAGATGTAGTCAAGTCAAAGGAATGAATGGTGTTTCTGTGACCAGGCACTGTCAGCCCACACGAGTGCTTCATTTTTGTTTCAAATCCTCCTTCAGGCCTCATCTCCTATTGCAACCTCAATCCAAGTCCACTCCTGCCTGTCATTATATTTTCTTACTCCTCCCTCAAACATGAAGTGATGAAAGCCAAAGAAAGATACAGCCATTATTCTTTTACCCTAGACCCTGCTTATCTGTAAGACATGGATTCTGTTTTATTCTTTTTTTTTTTTTTTCCTTTTGAGACAGAGTTTCAATCTTGTTGCCCAGGCTGGAGTGCAATGGCGTGATCACCGCTCACCGCAACCTCTACCTCCCAGGCTCAAGCCTCAGCCTGCCTCAGCCTCCTGAGTAGCTGAGATTACAGGCATTGCACCACTACAACCAGCTAATTTTATATTTTTAGTAGAGATGGGGTTTCTCCATGTTGGTCAGGCTAGTCTCTAACTCCTGACTTCAGGTGATCCACCCACCTCAGTCTCCCAAAGTGCCGGGATTACAGGCATGAGCAACCGCGCCCGGCCCTGTTTTATTCTTTCTATCCTTATTCTTTCTATCCTCAAGCAAACAGCACAACCCTAACAAATAGAAGGTGTTCAAGAAATAATTATTGTATAAATAGTGAATGAACAAAATGAAAATTACAATGGCATATAATATGGTTTGACTGTGTCCCCACCCAAATCTCATCTTGAATTGTAGTTCACATAATCCCCATGTGTCATGGAAGGGACGAGGCAGGAGGTAATTGAATCATGGGGGTCGGTTTTTCCCATGCGGTTCTCATGATAGTGAGTAAGTCTCACAAGATCTGATGGTTTTATGAAGGGCAGTCCCCCTGCACACACTCTCTTGCCTGCCCCCATGTAAGATGTGCCTTTGCTCCTCCTTCACTTTCCACCATGATTGTCCTCAGTCATGTGGAACTGTGAGTCCATAAAACCTCTCTTTCCTTTATAAATTACCCAGTCTCGGGTATGTCTTTATTAGCAGCATGAGAACAGACTAATACAGCATCCTTCTGAGAATGCAGAGACACAAAAAATGTTTCTCTCAAAACTCATTTGTGACCTTTCTGAAAACTGGCTTGATTACATATTTTGGTGATTATAAATTTTGTATTTTATCCTTTTTTACTTTCTGCTGGTGCTACAGGCAAATTCATGGGCCACATTTAGCAACTATATAAAACTTGCAGAATAGATTGTGTATTCGTCTTGCCATTTTATTTTTCATTCATCCCTTATTCCTCACTAATTTTTTTAAAAGTTTATATTTTGACAAATTATAGTTTTATAAGGTACAAAGTGATTTTTTACAATATCGGTAGAATCATAAGTTATAAAACTGTCCATCACCTTAAATATTTGACATTTTCATGATGAGAACATTGGAGCTATACTCTCTTAATGATACAATGTACAGTACTCAATTATTATCTATATTCACTATGCTATGCAACAGATCTCAAAAAAGAAGCAGACTTATTCCTCCAATCTTAGGCTTTGTACCCTTTGATTATCATCTCCTCATCCCCTCTACCCACCAGCCTCTGGTAACCACCATTCTACTCTCTACTTCTATAACTGCAATTGTTTTATATTCCACATATAAGTGAGAACATGTGGTAATCTGCCTTTCTGTGTTTGGCTTATCACTTAGCATATGTTCTCCAATTCTATCCATGTTGGTACAAATTACAAACTTTCTTTTTTCAGGCTGAATACTATTTCGTTGTACATACATTCCATATTTTCAAAACTCCATTCATCTGTTGATGGGCACTTAGGTTAATCCCACAGCTTGGCTATTATGAAGAGTGGTGCAATAAACATGGGTGTGCAGACATCTTTTCAACATACCGATTTAAAATCTTTGGGTAAATACCCAAAGGTAGGACTGCTAGATCATATGGCAAATCTATTTTTAGTTTTTTGAGGAATCTCCATACAGTTTTCTATAATGGCTACACTAATTTACATTTCTTCCAACAGTGCATAAGTTCCCTTTTCTCCAGACCTTGCCAATGCTGGTCTTTTGTCCTTTTGATGATAGCCACTCTAACAGGTGTAAAGTAATATCTTGTTGTGGTTTTAATTGGCATCTCCCTAATGGTTAGTGATACTGAACATTTTTTATGTATCTGTTACCCATTTGTATGTCTTTAAAGAAATATCTGCGAAAGCCCTTTACTTATTTCTTAATCAGATTACTAGTTTTTCTTCCCATAGAGTTGAGTTTCTTGTATAGTTTGGATATTAGTTTTCTATCAGGTATATGGTTTGCAAGTATTTTCTCCTAATCCCTAGGTTGTGTCTTCACTCTGCTAATTCCTTTGTTTTAAATAAGCTTTTTATTTGAATGTAATCCCATGTGTTTATTTTTGCCTTTGTTGCCTGTGCTTTCGAGGTGAAATGTAAAAATGTTATCATCCAGGCCAATGTCATGTAGCTCTTCCCCTGTTTTAGTAGTTTCACGCTTTCAGGTTTTATGTTTCTTTAACCCATTTTGAGTTGATTTTTGTATACAGTGTGTATACAGTGTATTTCTTTTGCATATGAATATCCAGTTTTCCCAATACCATTTATTGAAGACAGTGCTCTTTTTCCATTGTATATTCTTAGCACCTTTGTCAAAAATCAATTGACCACAGATGTGTGGTTTAATTTCTGTGCTCTCTCTTCTGTTCCATTGGTCAATGTGTCTACTTTTTTGCCAGTACTATGTTGCTTTAATTACTACTGTTTTGTAGTACAGTACAGATTGAAATCAGGTAGTGTGATGCCTCTGGCTTTGCTCCTTTTGCTAATGATTGCCTTGGCCATTAAGAGTTTTTTATGGTTCCATATGAATTTTAGGACTGTGTTCTCTATATCTTTGAAAAATGACATTGGGATTTTGATAAGAATTGCAATAAATCTGTAAATTTCTTTGCATAGTGTAATTCTTACAATATCTATTCAGGTCCTTTGCATATTTCTTAATCAGATTGTTTTCTTTCTATAGAGTTGAGTTCCTTAGGTATTTTGAATACTAATTCTCTATCAGATACATGGCTTGCAATATTAATTATTCCAGCCAGAATTATTTCCATATATTTGTGTCTTCAATTTTTTTCATTAATGTTTTATACTTTTTGGTGTAAAAGTCTTTCACCTCCTTGATTAAATTTATTCCTATTTTATTTTTTATAACTATTATAAATGGGATTATTCTCTCGATTTCTTTTCCAAAGTTTGTTGTTAGTGAAAAGAAATCCTAATTTTTCCATGTTGATTTCATATCCTGTAACTTCACTAAATTTGTTGATAAACTCTAACAGTTTTTTTTTTTGGTGGATTCTTTAGAGTTTCTTATATGTAAGATTGAGGTAAGAGACCAGGAAGACTTACTTCCTGGTCACAAAACAAGATCTGGTCCAGACAGGATAAAGTGAAGAAACTGGCAGGAACCAGCAGATGATGATGAAAGTGATCCCTAGCTGCCCTCCTTGCTCATAGGCATAAGACACTCCCCACCAGCACCATGACAGTTTACACATGCCATGACAATGACCCAGAAGTTACCACCCACTTTGCCAACAACCTGGAAGTTATGGCCTTTTTCCTAGAGAGTTCTAAATAATCCACCCTGAATTTGCATTGATCCACCCCTTAATTTTCCTATAATTGAAAGCAGATTTATCTGAGTATAAATAAAGTTGCCAAGATCCCTTGTGATGCCAACCCTGGGCACGTGGCCAATAAGTCAGCCGTGCTCTTCAAGGAGAAGTACCATTTAATATGATTGCTGTCTACCACCACTGGCTTGCTGTTGAATTATTTCCTGGGTGAAGCCAAAACCCTCCTGGACTAAGCCCCAATCTGGGGTCTTCTGTCCTACAAGATCATGTCATCAGCAAACAACAGTTTCACTTCTTCCTTTTCTATTTGGATGCCTTTTATTTCTTTCTCTTAACTTACTCTTCTTTCAAGGACGTCCAATACTATGTTGAATAGAAGTGATGAGAATGGGCATCCTTGTCTTATACTGGATCTAGATGAAAGGGCTCTAATTTTTCACCATTGAGTATAATGTTATCTGTGAGATTATATATGGCCTTTATTATGAAGTACATTTCTCCTATATACAATTTGAGTGTTTTTTTTTTTACCATGAAAGGATGTTAAATTTTGTGAAGTGTTTCTTTCTGCATCTAATGTGATGATCATATGACTTATTTTTTCTGTCAATGTGGTGTATCACATTTAATAATTTGTCAATGTGGATATATCCTTGCATCCCAGGGATAGATCCCATTTGATCATGGTAAATGATCCTTTTCATGTGTTGTTGAATTTTATTTGTGAGTATTTTGTTGAGGATATTTGCATCTATATTTATCAAGGATATTGGCCTGTAGTTTTCTTTACTTGTGATGTCCTTGTCTGGCTTTAGTATAGGGGTAATGCTGACTTTGTAAAAAGACTTTGGAAGTATTCTTTCCTCTGTGATTTTTTTAGAAAAGTCAGTGGGGAATTGGTAATAGTTCTTTAAATGTTTGGCAGCATTCAGCAGCGAAGCCAACAGGCCTTGGGCTTTTCTTGATGAGAGACTTTTCATTACTGGTTCAATCTCCTCACTTGTTATTCATCTGCTCAGATTTTGTATTTCTTTGTCATTCAGTCTTGATAGGTTGTATGTGTCTAGAAATTTATTTATTCTAGGTCATCCAATTTGTTGGCATATAATAGTTCATAATAGTTTCTTATGATTGTGTTTCTGTAGTTATCAGTTGTAATGTCTCCACTTTTATTTTTGATTTTATTTGAGTCTTTTCTTCTTAGTCCAGCTAAAGGTTTGTCAAATTTGTTTAATTTTTCAAATAACCACTCTTAGTTTTATAGTTTTATTGATTTTTTAAATCATTTTTCTGGTTTCTATTTCATTTATTTCTGTGATAATTCTTATTTATTTTCTTTTGCTAACATTGGGCTTAGTTTGTTCTTTTTATGTTTTCTTAAGGTGTAACATTATTTATTTGAAATATTTTTTCTTTTTGATATAGGCACTTATTGCTACAGACTCACCCCTCAGAACTTCTCTTGCTGCATTCCTAAATTTTGGTATGTTGTGTTTCCATTTTCATTTGTCTCAAGACATTTTTTAATTTCCCTTTTATTCACTGATCAACTGGCTATTCAGGAGCATGTTTAATTTCATTGAGTTTTCTGAAAGTCTTACTGTTACAGATTTTTAGTCTTAACCCATTGTGATCAGAAAAAAATACCAGATATGATTTCAATCTTCTTAAATTTGCTTAGACTTGCCTTGTGACCTAATATATGGTTTATTCTGGAAAATGTTCTGTGTGCTCTTGACAAGAATGTGTATTTGGTTGTTGTTGGTTTGGTATGTTTTGTACATGTCTGCCAGGTCCAGTTAGTCTGAAATGTTGCTCAAGTCCACTGTTTTCTTATTGATTTTATGTCTATCCAATATTGAAAGTGATTATTAAATCCTCTACTTACATTGTATTGAAATATACCTTTCCCTTCAGATACTTTAATATTTCCTTTATAGATTCAGGTGCTACACTGTTAGGTGCATATATAATTGTTATATCCTATTGATAAATTGACCCCTTTATCATTATATAATGCCCTTCTTTGTCTTTTTAAAATACTTTTTGACTTAAAGTCTATTTTCTCTAATGTAGCTATCACTACCCCTGTTCTCATTTGGTTTCCTTTTGTGTGGAATATCTTTTTCCATCCTTTAATGTTCAATCTCTGTGTTCTTTGAAAAGTGAAGTGTGTAGGCAGTATGTACTTGGGTCTCATTTTTTTAGTTCATTCATCACTCTATGTCTTTTGATTAGAGAATTTAATCTCTTTTCATTCAAGGTTACTGTTGCATAAAGATTTACTATTGCCATTTTGTTGTTTTCTGGTTGTTTTGTAGTTACTTTCTTTCTTTCTTCCTGTCTTGTTGTTTTCCTTTATAGTTTGCTATGGTGTATGGTTTCCTTAGTGGTATGTTTTGAATGTTTTTTCACTTTTTGGTTACCATGAGACTTTCCTAGAATATCTTACACTTATAACAGTCTACTTCAAACTGATAACAGCTTAACTTTGATTACATGTAACAATTCTGCACTTTTACTCCCCTCTTCCAAATTTTATGCTTTTGATGTCCAAATTAACATTTTATAATATATATCTCCTGACAATTTATTTTAGCTATAGTTGTTATTAATAATTCCATCCTTTAACCATTACACTAGGGATAAAATTATGTTACATACCATGATTACAGTCCTAGGGTATTCTGAATATTGCTATTTATTATGTATACCATTAGGTTTTGTGCTTTTCTAAATGTTATGTTACTAGTTAGAAGCATTTTTTTTTTTAGCTTAAAGAATTTCTTTTAGTAATTCCTGTAAGAGAGACCTAATAATGATGAATTTTCTTAGCTTTTATTTGCCTGGGAAAGCTTTTATTTCTCTCATTTCTGAAAGCTTTGGTGGTTAGAGCATTCTTGGTTGGCAGGGTTGTTTTTTGTTTTTTTTTCATTCAGCACTTTGAAAATACTATCCCACTGGCCTAGAGAGTTTCTGCTGAGAAGTCTACCGATGATTGTATTGAGACTTCTTTGTAGGTAATATATTGCTTGTCTCTTGCTGCTCTCAGAAATTTTTTGTTTTTGATTTTTGATAGTTTGATTATTATATGTCTTGGTGAACTCCTTTTTGGGTTGAACTTAGTTGATGACCTCTACATTTTCTGTACCTAGCTGTTGGTTTCTTTCCTCAATTAATGACATTTTTTCTTTTTTTTTTTTTGAGACGGAATTTTGCTCTTGTTGCCCAGGCTGGAGTGCAATGGCATTATCTTGGCTCACTGCAACCTCCGCCTCCCAGGTTCAAGCGATTCTTCTGCCTCAGCCTCCCGAGTAGCTGGGATTACAGGTGCCCGCCACCACACCTGGCTAATTTTTTGTATTTGTAGTAGGGACAGGGTTTCACCATGTTGGCCAGGCTGGTCTCAAACTCCTAACCTCAGGTGATTCATCTGCCTTGGTCTCCCAAAGTGCTGGGATTACAGACATGAGCCACTGTGCCTGGCCATTAATGACTTTTTGATCCAATATTTCTTTCAATATGTTTTCTGGCCCTTTTACTGTGTCTTCTCCTTGTGAAATGTGTATTATGCACAGGTTAGGCCTCAGTGGTGTCCCATAATTCCCACGGTCATACTTTATTCTTTTTCTTTTTTTCCTTTTGCTCCTTTGATTGGGAAATTTCATAAGTACTGTCTTCGAGTTCATTCATTCTTTCTTCAGTTTGATCAAGCAGACTGTTGAAGTCTTTATTGCATTTTTCAGTTCAAGCATTGTATTCTTCATCTCTAGGATTTCTATTTGGGTATTTTTTAATTGTTTCTATTTCTTTGTCAAACTTCTCATATTGTTCATGTAATGTTTTACACATTTTATTTAATTTTTATCTGTATGTTTTTGAAGTTCACTTAACTTTGTTAAGAGGATTATTCTAAATTTTTTTGTCATTTCATAAATTTCCCTTTCTTTAGTGTCCATTGTTGGAGTTTTGTTAGTTTCTTTTGGAGGTGTCATGATTTCTCAAATCTGTGTAATCTTTGTGTTCCTGCATTGCTGTTTATGCATTTTCAGAGAAAGCCACCTTTTCTGGCATTTATAAGAGTTCTTTGGCAGAGATAGACCTTCACTAGTTAGTCTATGCTATAATTCTGAATGGGCCAGCTGGTAATGAATCTGGGCAGGCAGAGCTTGCATTCAGGTTCTCTAGATGTCTGGGTCACTGCCTTTTCTCTGAATTTGGGTGGAACAGCTGGCTATGCTCTGCTATCCAGCAAGACCACCAGCTAAGCCCTGCTATGAGGCTGAGCTTCTGTGTGGGCACCAAAGTCACTTCTGATCTGGCTGGGCTACAGAGTATATTCTCCAGCTGGAATATACTGCTATCTGGACTCATCAGTTGGACAAAGTTGCAGAAGGGACCCTAAAGTTAATTGGATTGTGATGAATGGACCAAACGCTATACTCAGTATATTATATTCCTGATTGTGGCAAAACTAATACCTGCTTATTGTCAAAATTTGCTGCAGTGATTGTCTTTCTCACTATGTAGGGTCTAGGGGATAGGCTTTGGGGCTGTGTGAAACATTAAGCTTCAGTTTATGGCAGATCTAGTGTCTACTTGTTGTGGAAATTCACCACCAGTGGGTAGGGAAAGGGTTTTCTCATTCCCTGAGGAGCTCCCAGGGGTAGGGTCAAAAGCTAGACATGGAGGCTGGCTATCGAGGGATTCAAGCCTAGTAGTCCTTCCCACCTCTTCTGGGAGTGACCAGCTTGACTTTGCAGGTGACCTATGCTATTACCTGATATCTCTGATCACGGTACTGCTGGCAGGTACACTGAGCTTTCATCAAGATCTACCCACTGGTCTCCGTGGGTTTTACCCTCCTTGCTTTGTTTCGTTGTGACCCCAGGTGATCTGGCTGTGCCATATCCTCCTGTTTCCTGTTTCCTGTGAGGTGGGAGTGAAGTAGGCTTCCTGGGAAGTGTCAGAGAAGTTAGATGTCTACCTCCTCACCTCTCTTTTTTGACTGTAGAAACCATGAGCCCTGGGGAATCCTGTGTGGTGCTGTGGCAACTTGAGGAAGAGGGAAGGATGACATGGTCAAAGCAAGACTGTTTCTTTCAGCTTTCAATGGGGAATTTTATTTAGTTCCATGGAAATGAAGAAAAGCATTGACTCAGGCTTATTCCTACACTGTGGAGTTTCAATAACATATTTTTGTCTGTGGATAGTTGCTAGTTAATCTTTCTGTTGGAGGGAGTGAAGACTGGGGCCAATTCGCTGTTGTCACTCCACTAATTTTACTTTCAAGAAACACCACAGTGAACTGTTTGTGGGCTCAGGCTGCAAAATAAGGTTGCTTGGATTCTGCCATTTATTGGATGTATGCTCTTAGCAAGTTATTTAGCCATGTGCTTCAGGTTCCTTGTCTGTAAAATGGGGATTTATTAATAACTCTTTCATAGGGTTATTATTAATAATTAAGTTAAATGACATACTATATGTAAAGTACTTAAAGCAATACATAGAAGATAGATAGCAGTAAATGAGTCTTTGCTATTGTTAGTATATTGTTGCATTTTTAACACCTGTATTTACATGCCTCATATATTTTGGAGAAACAAGGTAAATATATAAACATTCAACAAAAACTAAGTTATGTGTAACAGAGAGGCAGAGAGAAATAGGGAGAAATAAGACAGAAAGAGAGAAGGCAAATGTTAGATGGAAATTTTCTAGAATAAAATTTTTGAGAAATTGTTCTAGCTCAGTCTCATAACTCAAAATCGTAAAGCAATATTTCCCAAATTTAAGCATGGATCAAAATCACTTGTAAAAACATACATTGCTGGGCCCCAAGTATGTACTTGTAACAAGTTTTCAAGAGATGTTGCTGCTGCTGATCCCTGGGCCACACTTTTGAACCGGGGCCCTAAAGTATCATCTAAAATAAATCCTACTTAGTACATGTTCATCCATCAAATTTACCTGCCTTTAGTAGTTCATTTGTGAACATTAAAAGGATCATGATAAATACACCCTAATGAAAAAAAACATAAATTTTGTAATTTATTTTCTTTGTGGTGGCTTAAAAAATAATTTTAAATAATATCTTTAAATTTTGAAAATGTTTTCTACTGGATATCAGTTTTTATTTATTTTAATGATATTCATTGTTTCTATAATCAGAAAATGTTTGCTTTTAACTGTGTTGAAAAAAGCCCTCATAATGAAGAAAGAAAACCACTCATAATCCTACTGAGACCTAACTGCCATTTATATTTCATTCTTGTTCTTTCCTATATTCCATCTGCCTATCTAACAACGATAAAATTGTATCATGCTGTAATTAAGGTTTATATTCTGCTTTTTGCACTCAATGGTATGTTAGTGTCCTTAAATGTTCTTTCATAGCATAGTTCTAAATTTTTGCATAATATTCTAATACGTGGTCATATCATCATCTCCTTTAACCAAAAAAACTTTCAAGAAGCCACTCATTTTACAATGGAAAAAAGTGATTAAACTTTTTTCATTTTATCCAGTTTCCTTAGACATTATAAATGGAAACAAACAAACAAAAAGCTTTCAGCAAGGTTTAAAGTAATGTAATAATATTCACATTAATCTAGTCCAGAAGATACTCTAACCAGGAAAATATAATTAGTTACCTCAATAATAATTCTGAATAGAGCAGCTTGAAAATACCATACCAGGTACATAGTGGGCATTCAATGAATGAATCCTAACAAAGACAATATCAATCATTTGTTTCTCTTTATTCTGAATGCTGTAATAAATAACAATAAATAAGTAAGAACTCTAGCTATTTTGTATGCTCTTGGAAGTACTTTCATAACTCTCATAAATTTATTTTAACTTCTATTAGTTTAATTTTATATTATTAAATTCCATTAAAAGAAGCAGTTTAGCTAGTTATTTCCATTTTCATTTACCCAAGAAGAAAAATTCAGACTCTGATATTCATTTTTAAATATCTCCTTGGAACAATGTACTATAACAATATAAGGTCATGCCACTACTTTCCTTAGCCTCATTTAATTTCCACCTCATCAAAAGTGAAAGCTTACGTTCAAATGATAGAATAAGAGCCACATAAATAATATCAAACTTCAGGGAACCAAGAGACATTAATTTTCAAATCCTTAACAGGTATAATTCCAGAAATCAATTCCAACTACACTTTTCTGTTTTTATTGAATTTAATCAAGGGAAGCAAGTTTTAAGGAGAATCCATAAACAAGTTTATCATCTAAACTTCACAAGACAAAACAAAATTTAAAATGCTATTACATAGCATCAGCATCAGCCAATCTGTACTTTCACAGCAGTTTACATGCATATGAAAAGAATTGCTTTCTTGGTCAAGAAATAAATATTAAAACATGTTAACATTCAAAATATTTGAATGTCATATCCTTAACAAACATGTTTTAACTCAAATACAGAAATAGAGATATATTATCTCTAACTAGAGAAAGTATTACACTTGAAATTTTCAAGCTAAGCTTTTATATCATTGAACGAGCTCTTAAAAGGAATTTGCACCTAGGCTGGGTGTGGTGGCTCATGCCTGTAGTCCTAGCACTTTGGGAGGCCGAGGTGGGAGGATTGCTTGAGGCCAAGAATTCAAGACTACCCTGGCCAACATACTGAGACCTCATCTCATTTTTTTTTTTTTTTGGTATAAAAAAATTTTAAAGAGGAAAAAAATGGAATTTACCTTTAGGAAACTATGACCCTAGAGGTAAAAAAGATAAATGTACAAAAATTATCCAAAAATTAAAATTATTCATATTATTTTTCATTTATTTACCATGACAATTTTTTTAAAACAAAATCATGGTCAAGTCTTAAAAAGAACACTTTTTATGTGTACAGTTCTTAAAATCTACAAAGCTGAAAGTTCTAATACAATTATTCCCTATATGAAAAATATGCAAACTGGGACTCAAAGACATTTGGCCATTAAGCTGTCCAAGGTGAACCAAACAGTAGGAGACAGTCTGGGTATTTAATTTAGGTCTAGAAATCCAAAATCTGTCTGTTTTATAGATGCAGACTTTTCCCTTTTTCATTTTCTTTTTGATTTCTTCATTTTCTACTTAATTTTCACTATAGTTATTGTTATTATTACCAGCTTTTGTTAATTTCCATGGTGGTCTATTAGTGTAGAAACTAAGGTTGAACACTGCCTTCATCTGTGGAGATATGGTATTCCTGGCCCTATAGGCCTTTCCTATGATTCTAGATGTGCTGTTATCTTGAGCTCCTAGTGATGTTCCCAAAGGAAGCACGTCACCCAGTAGACCCAGAGTAATCTCATCTGGTGACTTATCAAATTTCTGGATAATGACTACACTCTGGAATCATATCAGAAACTCTAGACTACAAATGGCTTAGGGGCATTTCTCTAAAATCCTTATAATAGACTTATCACTTCACTTCCTACATATATTTCCATGTTCCTTAGGGCTCTATCTTAGGATTTTCTCTTCTCACTCTGTACCCCTTTCCTGAGGGACTTTAATTTACTCCCAAGGCACCCCTCGCTGTACATATTGGTAACCTGCAAATGTACATCACCAGCCCAGAGCATCCTGCTGAGGACCAGACCCACACTGAGTGAGCTTCCTTGCCATGGCACAGAAAAGCAGGACCTCGAAAGAGTCCACCACAATCCCTAAGTTGAGGAGAAAGACTCGGGATTTTAGAAAGGCTAGAGTTGGCAGGGCAGAAAACCAGAGAGAGAAAAATCCTCATAGAGAAGCGGTGAAGATCTTCAGGTCTCCTTGAGTCTTCAGCTGAGTGCTGATTGGCACACAGCTGTAAGGAGCTACCTGTCACCTGGGGCACACCTGCCTGGAAGGAGCAGATGGAATAATCGCCAACCCACACACAAGGCCAGAAAGAGTTGGCGTTCCACTCAGAGTGGACACATATCTTGTAACACATGAGAAATAGAGTAATTAGAAAGGTACTGTCTGGAAAATAAAACAGAAAACAATTAGCCCTAGACTCATGGCTGCTTTGGTCTCTCCTTAAGGAAAAAAATTAAAAAATCATAAAAAGCTAGCATTAAATTTGGGCACAGTAGCCTGCGAACAGCCACTGCACTCCAGCCTGGGCAACATGGTGAGACCCTGTCTCTTTAAAAAAAAAAAAAAAAAGCCTCAAAAAACCCAAATTGTTCACCAGTAAGTAGTAACTATACCTCATAACAAAAGGAAAGAATATTTTTTAAAATATGATAATATCCAGCACAGAATAAAATCAAATTCACAACCTCTGGCATCTAGTAATATCTACCAGACATGCCAAGAAACAGGAAACTATGATCCACACTGAGAAAAATAATTAAGCAATTGAAGTCAACTCAGAAATGACATAGATTAGTAGGCACAGATATTAAAACAAATACTGTAACTATACTGTAACTATATTCTATATGTTTGAGAAGCTAAGTATGCTACAGAGAGATTTTAAAGGATATAAAAAAAGACACACATCTAAATTCTAGAAATAATACATACACTGAATGGGATTAACAGCAGATTAGACACAACATGCGAAAAGATTAATGAACTCCAGGAAAAGACAAATAAAAAACAGTAGACTGAACAGAATATCAGTGACAACACAAAAAATCTAATATATATGTCCTTGCAGTCTCTGAAGGAGAGGAAGAGACAGAAAAAATATTTGAAAAATATAATGGCCAAAAGTATCAAAATTTGAGACAGATGTAATAGAGTAATTTTACAATGGTAAAGGGGTAAATTCATCAAGAGGACAGAACAGAACTAAACTTTTATGCACTTAATGACCTAATGAGAGCTTCAAAAAACATAAAGCAAAAGCTAACAGAACTTGAAGAGAAATTCTAACGTCTTCAGTTATTTAGTGACTTTGAAACCCCTTTCTCATTAGTGGATAGAACAAGTAAATAACATATCAATATGTACATAGAGGAACTAAAAAATACTATCAACCAGCTTCACTGAACTCACATTTATGGAGCACTCCACTAAATAAATAGAATTCCTTTATTTAAGAGCACATAGACCATTTACCAAAATGGATCTATTCTAGGCTTTAAAACAAGTCTCAATCAAGTTAAAAGAATTTTAGAAAGCCAGGAGCAGTGGCTCACATCTGTAATCCCAGCACTTTGGGAGGCCGGGGTGGGCGGATCACTTGAGGCCAGGGGTTCGAGACCAGCCTGGCCAACATGGTGAAGCCCCATCTCTATTAAAAATACAAAATTAGCTGAGTGTGGTGGCATGCACCTGTAATCCCAACCACTTGGGAGGTTGAGGCATGAGAATCGTTTAAACCCAGGAGGCGGAGGTTGCAGTGAGCCAAGATCTTGCCACTGCACTCCAGCCTGGTTGATAGAGCAAGACTCTGTCTCAATAAAGAAAAGAAAGGAAAAAGAAAAGAAGAGAAGAGAAGAGAAGGGCTTTAAGTGATAAATGTATACTTTAAAAATGTAAAAAGGAAAAAGAACAAATTAAACTCAAGTAGACAAGGGAATAGAAATAATAAAGAGCAGAATTCAATAAAAGAGAAAACAGAAAACAAAACCATGCCCACAAAAATCAGTGAATCAGAATTCTGATTCTTTGAAGATGTCGATAAAAATGGATCAACTTTTAGCAATACAGATAAGGAAAAAAAAAAAAGAGAAGATACAAATTCCAAATATCTCTATGAGAAACAGGACATCACAGCAGATCCTACACAAAATAAAAAATAATAAAATAATAAGGGGATGTTATGAACAAATTCACGATAAGAAATTTATCAGTGCAGATAAAATGAACAAATTTTTGTAAGATAAAAGTTACTGAAGCTCCTTTTCCAATTACCATGGCATGAGGAGCCATGAGCAGTAAAGTCTCTCAGGACACCCTGTATGAGGTGGTGCAGGAAGGCCCTGCATGGGGACGAGTGCAAGTGCCCCAAGTTTTTGGAGACTGGAGTTGCAGATAAGTTTGATGAACTATGACCTCCAGGACAAATGCTTCTCGGGCACCATCAGGCTTAAGTCCACTCCCCGCTCTAAGTTCTGTGTGTGTCCTGGAGAAACAGCAGCACTGTAATGAGGCCAAGGCTGTGGATATCCCACACATGGACATCGAGGTGCTGAAAAAATTCAACCAGAATAAGAAACTGGTCAAGAAGCTGGCCAAGAAGTAGGATGCTCTTTTGGCATCAGAGTCTCTGATCAAGCAGATCCCGTAAGTCCTCGCCCAGGCCTACATAAGGCTGGCACGTTCCCTTCCCTGCTGATACACAATGAAAATGAAGTGGATGAGGTGAAGTCCACAATCAAGTTCCAGATGACGAAGGTGCTGTGTCTGGCTGTGACTGTTGGCCATGTAAATGTTACAGACAATAAACTTGTGTATAACATTCACCTGACTGTCAACTTCCTGGTGTCATTACTCAAGAAAAATTGGCAGAATGTCTAGGCTTTATATATCAAGCGCACCATGGGCAAGCCCCCAGTGCCTGTATTAAGACACATTCGAATAAATTCTACCGCCACCAGCCAAAAAAGAAAAATTACTAAAGCTCATTCAAAAAAGATAGATAACCCAAATACCCTTATATCAATTAAAGTAAATGAATTTTTAGTTAAAAACCTTCCCACAGTAAAAACTCCAGGTTTAGGTGGCATCATTAGTGAGTTCTGTCAAACATTTGAGAAATAAATAATGCCAATTCTATTCAAGATATCCCACCATATAAAAATGAAAAAAGCTTCCCAATTCATTCTATGAGGTCAGCATTATATTGATACAAGAAGCAGACAAAGACTTAAATATATTTTTTGTCCTACTGTTTTATGATACACTACTGAAGAAACCATGCCTCTACATTCATTTATTTAGCAAATATGTATTTAATGTCTTCTCTGTGCAAAGAGGAATATGGGGTCTGCAAAGATCATGACCTCAACAGGGAAGATAATTTTTCAATTTCCTCTTCAAATTATTCATAAAAATTGCAAAAGGTCTCTGTCTACCTCAGCTTGCCTTTAAGTGAGAGATCTATCATCAGTTACACAGTTTTCTTATTTTCCCATGCCTAACTAAAGTGATCTCAATGGCACTAAAGGATGTTTTTGTTTTAGGAAATTCTCATTATTTTTACTGGACCAGTAATGAAAATGATTTCTGCAGCAACCTAGATGATTCATTCCTTTTCAAGGAGTTGTATTTAGATTGGTGCAAAAGTGATTGCAGGTTTTGCCATTAAAAATAATGGCAACAAATTACCATTACCATTTACTATTAATAAATTACCATTTGTAATTGGTAATTTATTGCCATTACCTTTAGTGGCAAAACCCACGCTTGCTTTTCTGGTAATAAATTCAGCGTTGGATATGCACTAGTTCATTTTCTCCCTTTAGTCTCTTTCACTAAATTGAGCTCCTTGAGTTCTAGGATCTTGCCTAGATCCATAATGCCTGGCAGACATGTTCAATAAATATTTGTCAAATGAGTGATGAATAAGTGAATAAATTAAAAAAAAGCAAAGGCTAATAAATCAATAATTTTTGTGTTTTACAACCCTGGTTATTTTTATTTTTTTACTACTTATAAACTTCCATTGATTCCCATAACAGAAACATATTGATTTGCAAAATTAGACATGCAAAATGTAAAACACTCTGAGCCCATATTAGCATACAAAATATAATATGTGGTACAGAGGGCATCTTTTTTAAAATAGCAAGACCGAGAATGGAAATTAAGTTTGAATGAAAATGTTAACTGAGCACAGAGCCCTACTCTACTCCCCATCTTATAAAAAAATTCTTATAAATGAAGAACAGGTACAGTAATATCATAATAATTTTATAATGAATGTTGACAACTAAAAGGAGTACCACCTATGGACAAGAAATTTTAAAGATTTAGTGGAAATTAGATTGACCAAGGAGATAAGAGTCCTCAGACACACATAGAAAAATTCAAACTGCTATAATGTAAGTAGAGCTCTAAGTCTAGAGGCAACAGAGAGACAGAAATGGAAAGAGCTCTGGAATGACTGGCACAATGATGAGCTGGGAAACTGTATATGGAGCTGATGGGCCAGTCATCCCTTTCCTCCTACCCTGTCCTTCTGCCCTCTCTGTTGAGCAGCACAAAACAGACATGTTTTAACTCACAAATACAAATGAATAGGGCAATTTCCTCAGAGAGTGAGAACTCCCAGAAGGGCACTACTAGCACATGAATGCCTCACATCTCAGCAGCATACTCAGTCTCTCCTATGAAACCTGGAGACGAACCCCTATGCACAACCCTCATCCAGAGACATGCAAATAGGAATACGCAAACATAGAGGTGGGCAGGTAACTAAACATCTCCAAAAATTTGAGAAAAGCCAAAATCACGAAAGAGGTACTGAACCCAGCAGTAAAAACAAACTCTGGAGAAAATAAAGCCAACAGAGGACACAGGTGAACCCTTGAAAATAAGAGTCAAGTTCTCAGGAGAATGAGAGAAGTTGCCCCAGTGAAACATCAGAAGAGATTATTATGAAAAGGTCACCAGTTAGAGATCTTAGGAATTATAAACCTCAGTGGATGGACTGAATATCAAATGGATACAACTTGAAAGTAAATTTATGTTCTTGATTGAATCAAAGGAATTTTTCCAGAATGCAAGGTAAAAAGTACAAAGTCCTGTTAAAATAATTGGAAGGCCATTAGACTGAGGCAATTCCACTGCCTGCATCAGCAAACTGAAACTCAACTCATTGTAAACAGTAAACAACAACAACAACAACAACAAAACACTTAAGCTTATTCAGTCAGAAATGGCCAACCTCTAACAAGGGACTTTTGCTGGAATGATTCAACTAAACCTACTGCTCCACTGTAAACAACCAAATATTTTCTTTGCCTTGCTCCCGTATTCACCCTATAAAAGCCTTCTCCTTCATTCCCCTTCATCAGAGCCCTGAACCACCTGCATTCTGGAACTGCCCAATTCGTGAACCAATAAAGCAGCCTCATTGTCTGGGGTGATATTCAACGTTCACTGTCTCATAGCCATGGAGATCAAAGACCTGGACACAAAGAGTAAGGTTAGGAGCAAAAATTTAATAGGCAAAAGAAAGAAAATAGCTCTCTGCTACAGAGAGGGGTCCCAGAAAAATGAGTTGCCAATCTGCAGTGAAATGCAGGGTTTTTATAGATGAGCTAGTAAAGAGGTGGTGTCTGATCTACATAGGGCATGAAAAACCAGTTAGGACCAGGTGTGGCATCTGCATAGGGCATGAATCTCTGACAGTCTCCACCCCAGTCTTTTATTATGCAGGTGGGTTCTCTGCCTGAGCTTCTCCATGTTGCCCATTTCTTACTGTACATGTGCTAACAACAAAGGGAAGGTGGAGCCCCATGGTGAACATGCCTGGCCGCCAGGTAGGACTTTTCCATTGGTGTAGCTGCAGGCTTTCTCCCGTGCAAGCTTCCAGCTTCCTTATTTGTGTTTGCAGCTCCATCTTTCAGGATGCCCTTTGTTAGAAGAGAATTAATTTCTTGGGTTGCTTTTTGTTAGAAAGGAAGTTCTGCCGAGGACTCTTTTGCCCTCACTATCTGCCTAAAATAATTTCTTTCTATCTCCTGTGTCACCACCGTTTGCTCAAATAAACTCTTTCATATTTAATGTGCCTCAGTTTCTCTTTCAATAGTCCTAACAAATATGGGTATAAAGGATAAAACTCAAGACAACCAGAGAATCAGTCCAGAAAAGCCAGCATCCATCAGATCAAAGTTCCTCAATGAAAGAACATTGAGAATGTAGGACTGTCAATATTCAAAGAAATATAGAAAGGAAAACTTTAATAGTGAAAAATATATGTCTTCCAAGCAAGTACATCTTTTTTGCATGAGTTTGGAAACAATTCAAAATATTGAGAACTGTAATGGGTGGAGGTTGGGGAAATAGGCATTGGGTTAAAAATGCAAACTGGCAGAGCTTGCTTACATGGCAATTTGGCAGTTTTTATCAGAATTTTAAATGTACATATTTTGACTCAGAAATTCTACTTCCAATATTTAATTTTACAGAAGTGTTTACATATGTGCATAAAGATATAACAACAAGGATGGTCACTGCAGCATTATTTGTGAAAAAAATGGGAAAAATAATCAATAGAGGATTCCTACAATACAGTGATTCTATGGAATATTGTGAAGCCACTAAAATGTGCGTATGCTTATAAATAAACAAAGATTCAATGGAATCACATAAAACTATTGACAGTGGTCATCTATCAGGAAGAGAGAGGTTTTGTGAGGTCAGAGGAGTTGTCATGTAAAAGATGTTCGTGGTTTGCTCTGCATTTTTCTGTATAATCTGGATATTTTACATTAGCCCTGAATCTCAACTGTCTCTTATAGCAATGAGAAAGAGAGCTGTCTATTCTTGGACTATACCATCTCAAGGCAAGTTATTTATCCATAGTTCAATTTTCCTAAGACACAGCTGAGCACTAACCACCACCACCCCGGGTGGTCTGCATTTACTTAAAGTTCTTCCAATTACTAAGCAGAGGTAGATACTATCCCAAGTTTCACAAATTACAGGGGACAACTAGAGAATGACAGAACTGCCGAACACAGAGAATACCCAGAGATCATCTACTTCAACCCTCCATTTTATGTTTTTCTGGATAAGAAAACTTCTGGGAGTAGAACACTGGTGACTCAGTTGTGTATTAGTTTCTTTGCCAATGATTGGTGAACTGACACACCAACAAACAAAAAGAGCCATTAAGTTTGCAAAAGACAGATGGCACAGAAGAGGCACTCTCGGTCTGCAGTGATAGTCTGTGACTTGAAGTCAAGCACACCCAGGGCTAGGGTGGAAGAGACCCTTGGGAAGTAAATGAACTTATTTAGTTCCTTGCTTTCTACATGCAGCCACTGGTGGCATGAGGCAAGAGAAGAAAAATGTGTTTCATCCCATTTAAAATACTCTGTGGGCATCTAACACTTGTTATGATGCACTGCGCTTATAATACTGACAATTCAGAAATGTGGCCTCACTCTTAAGAGAGTCTCTGCCCTTAAGGACCTTACGGGTGAGGGGTGAGGGGAAAGAGAGATGCAGAGAGAGAGAGATGCAGACAGAATAGATGTGCCATTCTAATAGTACAGAGGGCTGAGCCAGGGGCCAGGGGAGGGGGCATTAATGGCTGTGTTTGTGACCCATTTCACAGAAGAGTTCCACTTGAGTAGACCAGTTCTGGTGTCTCCCACCCTTCCTTCCATGCACACCTCATTCCTGCAGTAGAGAATTAGGGATTCCCTCTGTACTCACTATAAAGTGAAATAAGCTATTTTGAATGTTAGTGAATGCACAAGAACACACTGTCAATGTCAATAGGAAGAGTCAATACTTAACAGCTAAAAATTACGCTTTCATGTTCTCTATCCCCCTCCCCTATATTATAGATAAAAGTGAAAAAAATGACAAAATGCCAACTGGTCTTTGATAAGGTGAGGGCTATTTTGGCCATCTGTATTCTGCACTCTGTTTTTAACAAGTTGAAAAGGCTTTGACTCTTGCAATATATCAAAATAAGTCCAAGTTCTTTCAACTTTCTGTGATAGGAGATTTATTCTGAAGTCTGTCAGTTATGATTGTTTTATGTTTCTTTTTCTAAATTACCTGTTTTCTGTTCACTGCAAAGGTTGGTATTTCATCCAGTTAAGGGGCAAAAACACTGCTGACAAAACCCAACAATCTTTATTTTGAGCTCATTAAAAAGCAAAGACAAAGTTAGGATTGACTTCGGGTGTAACTGGCAAGTAATGAAGAAGCAAAATTTATCTTTAGTAGCACTAGTGTTCAGTTTCTCCTTATTTTAGAAGGAACACACACACGCACACACTTTTATAAGAGTGCACTGAGAGAGGCTTAGAGTTAGGGTGAGAGAGAACCTTTAAACCATCTAATCTAACTTTGCCGTCAGTACAGACACCTGAGCTTCTGCACTCCTGACTGATGAGATCTTCCTTCTCTGCTTGGGTGCTACAAGCTACCAAAAGCTCACTACTTAACAAGACAGCACTAATTTTTAGGAAGTTCCTATTAACATGGGAAGACATGTGATGAACAGAAGCGTACTGAATCATCAAAACACCTTTCCCTATCACCTCTGCCCTAACTCCTTTCTCCATCCCTTATCCCCCTCCTTCTTTCAATCTCTCTCTCTCTCTGGACCTCCTTTATTTATCCCTTCACCACTTTCCAAACCCACCATTGCTCTTGTTTTCTTTCAAATCTCCCAATGCTCCCTGACACCCAAACCTCCTCTTGATTCAATGCCCAATCCAGGGCAGAGCTTGCATGGGGCTTTCCCTGCAGAAGAAATGATCCCTCTTCTCTGATTACAAGGGGGCTACAGAAATACAAATGATGACATCCTGAGGCAATAGATAATGAAATGCAATCTTATAATATAGAGTGACCTCAGTGGTAGAAGGAAGAGAGGAAGAAAAACATTTTAGTTTTTTGCCTGCTTTTTTTAAAAGTTTTTTTTTTTAATTATACTTTAAGTTCTGGGGTACATGTGCAGAACGTGCAGGTTTGCTACATAGGTATATATGTGTCATGCTGCTTTGCTGCACTCATCAACCCGTCATCTATATTAAGTATTTCTCCTAATGCTATCCCTCCTACCACCCTCCCCACACCCCCGCCCTGACAGGCCCTGGTGTGTGATGTTCCCCTCCCTGTGTCCGTGTGTTCTCATTGAAGATGTAGAGGACCTTACATCACTGAAGGAATAAAAATGTAGCCTGCAGCTCCTGTATATTCCTAAATTTCCCTTCTCTTCATCATTATTATTTTTTAAATTTATCTGTTTTTTCAAAGACTCAGGTAAAAGCCCATCATAAGCCATGCCCATAGCACAGCTATTTCCACACACCAGCAGGATGATCTCTAAAAGCCCTGCTTTGTGGAGCCAGGTAGAGTGTAAGAATGTCTCATGGATAGGAAGAATCAATATCGTGAAAATGGCCATACTGCCCAAGGTAATTTACAGATTCAATGCCATCCCCATCAAGCTACCAATGACTTTCTTCACAGAATTGGAAAAAATTACTTTAAAGTTCATATGGAACCAAAAAAGAGCCCGCATTGCCAAGTCAATCCTAAGCCAAAAGAACAAAGCTGGAGGCATCACGCTACCTGACTTCAAACTATACTACAAGATTACAGTAACCAAAACAGCATGGCACTGGTACCAAAACAGAGATATAGACCAATCAAACAGAACAGAGCCCTCAGAAATATTACCACACATGTACAACCATCTGATCTTTGACAAACCTGACAAAAACAAGAAATGGGGAAAGGATTCCCGATTTAATAAATGGTGCTGGGAAAACTGGCTAGCCATATGTAGAAAGCTGAAACTGGATCCCTTCCTTACACCTTATACAAAAATTAATTCAAGATGGATTAAAGACTTAAATGTCAGACCTAAAACCATAAAAACCCTAGAAGAAAACCTAGGCAATACCATTCAGGACATAGGCATGGGCAAGGACTTCATGTCTAAAACACCAAAAGCAACGGCAACAAAAGCCAGAATTGACAAATGGGATCTAATTAAACTAAAGAGCTTCTGCACAGCAAAAGAAACTACCATCAGAGTGAACAGGCAAACTACAGAATGGGAGAAAATTTTTGCAATCTACTCATCGGACAAAGGGCTAATATCCATAATCTACAAAGAACTCAAACAAATTTACAAGAAAAAAACAACAACCCCATCAAAAAGTGGGCGAAGGACAGTTTTTGATGAACAGACACTTCTCAAAGAAGACATTTATGCAGCCAACAGACACGTGAAAAAATGCTCATCATCACTGGCTATCAGAGAAACGCAAATCAAAACCACAATGAGATACCATCTCATACCAGTTAGAATGGCGATCATTAAAAAGTCAGGAAACAACAGGTGCTGGAGAGGATGTGGAGAAACAGGAACACTTTTACACTGTTGGTAGGACTGTAAACTAGTTCAACCATTGTGGAAGACAGTGTGGCGATTCCTCAAGGATCTAGAACTAGAAATACCATTTGACCCAGCAATCCCATTACTGGGTATATACCCAAAGGATTTTAAATCATGCTGCTATAAAGACACATGCTCACGTATGTTTATTGTGGCGCTATTCACAATAGCAGAGACCTGGAACCAACCGAAATGTCCATCAATGATAGACTGGATTAAGAAAACGTGGCACATATACACCATGGAATACTATGCAGCCATAAAAAAGGATGAGTTCGTGTCCTTTGTAGGGACATGGATGAAACTGGAAATCATCATTCTCAGCAAACTATCGCAAGGACAGAAAACCAAACACCGCACGTTCTCACTCATAGGTGGGAATTGAACAATGAGAACACTTGGACACAAGAAGGGGAACATCACACACCAGGGCCTGTTGTGCAGTGGGGGGAGGTGAGAGGGATAGCATTAGGAGATATATATATATAATATAGGAGATATAATGTAAATGACGAGTTAATGTGTGCAGCACACCAACATGGCACATGTATACGTATGTAACAAACCTGCATGTTGTGCACATGTACCCTAGAACTTAAAGTATAATAAAAACAAAAAAAAAGAATGTCGGAACAAAGCACCACATTGAGCCACAAAGTTTTCTCTGGTCGCTGTTCATACAGCCATCACTATCTACAAGGAGAGTGCAGGTTTACTACGGTCACAAGGTGAAAGAAAGGTCTGTGGAGTTGCTGTCAGGCTGTGCATACATCTTCCTCTCTTTCAGTCATTGATAGCAATTGCATGTCAATTCTTTGTGCTCCTGTACCACGACATATTTATTATGCCCTCAAAAGCAACACAAACCACCTGAACTCCTAAAACACAGAATAAGTTATTAGAAGATCACAGAACCAGGAAAAGGAAAACGGTAGGCATGGTTTACATATGCGTTCTTCCTCTTTCCTGGGAGAAATGCTTTTTCAGTTCCTCCATTGATCGGAGAGGCTGACATTTTCCTTCATCACCAAGGTTTTCTTGTGGCTCAGAAAACAATATCTCTAAATGAAGCCCTCAGAGAAGCAAACATTTTTCTTTGACCTTCACCTGCTCGCCTATCTCTCAATACCATTCTCCCCCAGGGCTTGTCACAGAAACCAGAACACTAAAGAAACCAGAACCTAAAGCCAGCCATGAAACCTAAAAATATTACTATAACGTTCCCCTTTGCCTTTCTGTGTAAAAACTGGCCATAAAGAAATTATGTGGGTGTTAAGACCCCTTTCCAGAGACAGCCCTGCCCCACACCCAGAAGGAAGAAACGTTACACAGAGAGGCCAAGAAGAATCTAGACAGACAAGCCTTGCTGGGTTTCCTCTCTCCATCTATTAGCATTAGATCTTACCCTTTTTGTCTAATTATATTTCTACACACTGTTCATACTTTGTTAAACTTAAGCCCAAAAATGGACAATTTACAGCATATCCTTGAGTCTTCATTCTGAGGGGCTCCCGTGTTGATGCAATAAATTTGTATGTCTTTCTCTAATTAATCTGCCTTTTGTGAGTTGATTTTTTTCAGCAAAGCTTCAGGGGTCAAGGGCCTTGGCCCCTACAGTTTTACACACAGGGACAGCAATCACCAGCACCTATTTCCCTGTGGCTTTACAGTTTACAATGCCATTTTGCACACCTGGCTGTCATTCCCTGCTCTCATCTATCCTAACCCTCTCTCTTTGGTCAATATCCCCGAGCTGCGTAACCATCCAGCCTGTCCCTACCAAGCACGTCCTAGCCTCTCCCTCAGAGTCTGCAGGTAGTGGCAACAGGCTAGAGGTTTGTGTACGGCTGCATCTGGAGGGAATGGTGCTATTCTGGCAGCTATACCTTGGATGCCACTGTGCAGTCAGTCAGCCGTGCCGTCTGCCTCATTTTAAAGTCCCCCCATTCTTCTCAGGCAAACCCAAAGAGCTGTGCTATCCAGTTTTCTTTAGAAAGGTCTGAGCAGCCCTGCTGGCTCTGCAAGGGCATCAAATTGGGATTTCATAACTGCTTGCCTCCCAGAGGAGACTTTAATTTTTTTTACAAGGGCCAAATGTCCCACGTTTATCTACAAATGAAATGTGTTTCATGCAGTTATGATGGATGGAGTGCATAACACCTGACAGCAGCAAGACCTTTCGAGGAACCGAACGTTGACTACAGTATATCATGCAAGTATCTATATATACACAAAAGAATTCCTTTACTTAAAAAAATAAGTACAAAACATGTTGAGGGATAAATACAAGATATAAAATGCAAAAGAAAACACAAAACAAAACCAAAAAATAGAACTCTCTCAGAGAACTATAAACGGAAGGGCCAGAAGAGTATCTCTGTTGCATTTTAATAAAGCAGAACTACCAACATTAAATATACTTCTTGAAATGGCTGAACTAAACCCGGGTGGCTCAGTGCTTAAGGTAACGGCCAATTGCAATACACAGGCGGCTGCATTGATAAGTCGGTGGTTGAAGTTGCACATCCCAACTCTAAGTACCAGAACATTTGGCAGCAGCACCCAGAACAGGAAACGCCAACTCTTTTGACAGCAAAGGGTTAAGTCAACTGATTTTTTTCTGTCAAGAGCCAGAGAAATACTTGATATTCTTAGTTGTGTTTCTGTAATATTTAATAAATTACATGACAAAAACCTGATTATATAAATCTATTGGTCTAACTACGTATTTGCAACTTTTATAGTAGTCCAGCCCTTTCGTTACTTTCCCTCCTTGTGCTCTTAAAGCCAGCCTTGCAGGTCTGCTGAGAAAACAAGTCCCATTTTTTTCTTTAGAATAGCCTTCCCCATTCCTCAAAATGGAACTGAGGAAATCAGCCTTCCTTATTAGATTCCTGGCTTCAGTTTTTATCCACGGCTGGGAAACGAGCAACCTGCAAGACTGCTTTAAACACCCTTCGGCGTGGCCTGAAGACAAAGGCACGCCCACACTGGAGTGCAGTTGTCTCAAATGTGAACTCACTTCCTGAGGGCAGGCACATCGAGGAAGTGCTGAGACACTTAAAAGTTCCTAGTGTTTTTGAGACCCACAATTACTTACTATTTATGTAGTGAATTCTAACAATTAAAAACACTAAAAAAGGCATTATTTTAGCCTGTAATTAGTTAACCCATTCAAAATCCAAACATACAAAATGGTTTATTTGAATTCAGGAACTGCCCTTGTTACTAAGAACTCTGTTTTAAAGAAACAGTACAAAAAGAAAAATTCTAACCCAAAACAACTCAAATGGTTTTCCACTAAATACTGATACAAACATGTAACAAAGAGTATAAAAAGTTGTTCATTTAAATATATACAAACTCTTTTAAACGCAAATACTGTTTTAATACTTATCGAGGATATATACGACGAGGTGAAGGAAGGTACGTTGAAAGAGAATATATTGCAACAGCCTAGACAGTACTGTTAATTCTATTATCCCACTGCAAACTTTTTGTAACAAAAATGTCTTTTTTATTCCAATGTGGACAGGGATTTTCCTCATGGATCATCTGTGGCTATTTCTCGGCTGAGCTCATCCTTTTGGATTTGATGAAGGCCATGCCGTGTATCCGCATGTGAGTATTTGAGGCAGCTTCAGTTTCAAAAGTTTTTGCGCACACTTTGCACTTTCTGTCTGACACGGTGCCATCAGGGGAGTCATCCTCGTGGCTGGGTTTGTTCTCCTGTTGGTTATCTTCCCCAGCCCCATTTTGCTTGGACACTGGCTGAGGTTCCTTTAACTTGTGTACGATGAAGAGGTGTCTGGAGAGAGAGACGTGAGACGTGTAGCAGAGGCCACACTCCCGGCACTGGTAGGAAGAACCATCCGATTTGTGCTGAGGGACGTGTTCGTGGAACTGCAGCAGGTTTTCAGTGGTGAAGCCACACACGGCACACTTGTGAACCTTAAAATCATTGATTTTCAGCTTTTTCAGTGGTTGAGTGATTGCTCCTCAGGGAGACCTGAACTCCAAAACTGGTTCTTCTAACTTCCGCTTGGGACTGGGGACCTTGGTGTCTTCTTTTGTTTCCTCCTCACTGGTGGCATCTGTCATTTCTTTAATTCTTTAATAGTAAACACAGCTTCTTCCAACAAAAGCCTCTGAGGTTGGACGCCATGCCACTCAGTCTAAGCAATACGATTTCATACTCTAGATAGAGACATGACCCTGGTCCCAGTACAACCTCACATAGGAAGGTTGATATCCCAAACATGTACAGCTCATGGGGGAAAAAAGCAGGTAAATAAATAAATAAATAAAACAAACAACAAAAAATACAAACAACTCAATTTAAAAATGAGCAAAGGAGTTCAATGGACATTTCTCCAAAGAAAATACACAAATGATTAATAAGCACATGAAAAGATGTTCAACATCACTATAGAAAAATGCAAATCAAAACCACAATTAGATACTTCACACTATTAGGACAGCCAGTATACAAAAAACGGAAAATAACAAATATTAGTAAGGAGGTGGAGAAATCGGAACCCTATACATTGTTGGTGGGAATGTAAAATGTTGCAACCACTGTGAAAGATAGTGTGGTGGTTTCTCAGAAAAATTTAAGATAAGATCACCTTATGATCCAGTAATTCCACTTTTAGGTATACATCAAAAAGAATGGAAAGCAGGGACTCAAACAGAGAAATGTACAACAATGTTCATAGCAGCATTATTTGCAACAGCCAAAATGTAGAAACAACTCAAATTAGGAGATGAATGGATCGACAAAATGTGATAAGCACATAGGACAAAATATTATTCTGCCTTAAAAGAGAAGGAAATTCTAACACATGCCACAACGAGTGAACCTTGAAAACATTACGCTAAGTGAAATAATCCTGACACAAAAGGATAATGTATGATTTCCACTTACACGAGGTACTTAGTGTAGCCAAATTCAAAGAGAAAAAAGTAGAACAGTGATTACCAGGGGCTAGGGAAAAAGGAGGAATGGGGAGCAATTGCTTAATGGGTATAGAATTTCAGGTCTGCAAGATGAAAAGAGTTCTGTGGATGGATGGTGGCAATGACAGCACAACAACGTGAATGTACTTAATACTACTGAACTGTACACTTAAAATGGTTAAAATGGTAAATTTTATGTTATACATATTTTACCACAATAAAAAACAATTAAAAAAACCATCCAGGCATGGTGGCTTGCACCTGTAATCCCAGCACTTTGGTAGGCTGAGGCAGGTCAATCACTTGAGGCCAAGTGTTCAAGATCAGCCTGGCCAGCACGACAAAACCCTGTCTCTACAAAAAATACAAAAATTAGCTGGGTGTGTTGGTGCATGCCTGTAATCCCAGCTACTCAGGAGACTGAGACATGAGAATCACTTGAACCTGGGAGGTGGAGGTTGCAGTGAGCAGAGATCACACCACTGCACTCCAATCTGGGTGACAGAGTGAGACTCTCAAAAATAAAAATAAAACAATAAAAAATACGTTAAAAAAAAGAGAGAGAAGAAAAAAGGAAAACAACCAACAACTGGAAGGTTTGAACTTTATCAGCTTTTCCTTCCTACTTAGGTCTCTCCCTAAATAATCCAAAGCCTTTCTCTGAGCCCCTGGTTCCCTCTCCTCTCATTCCTAGTCTTTCACACTTCAGAACTTTTCCACCACATTCCAATAGGCAAAACTTACCATTTTAGATGGTACTTCTGCTTCTCCTGCCTAGGAAGCAACTAGCTTAATATATCTGTCCAGCAGTGGCAGACATGGAGTAACGAGGCTTCCACTCAACTTAAATGTAACAGGGAGTTTGCCATTCTGTCTATGGTGTTTACTGAGGCCACCCACATTCAGAGACTTGCGTACCCAGGTAAAATCTATGTTCTTAGTTATAATCTACTGAGCTACCCTTCAGATGGCTCACATGCTAGAGCACACCAGGACCTTGGTTGTCCACTCCTTACCCTCTTGGCCTATTCTTCTCTGCACGTACCTGGTTTCACCCTGCCTAATGTCAAAGGTTTGTGCAAATAAAGCCATGTGTATAAATTTGGGAATGGGGGCACCACCAGCCATTGCTAACATATCAGATCTAAGGAAGAAGGGAAAAACTGTGTTCCAAGAAACATAAAATGTGCAAATCTTCACATGAACCTTGAGCACAATAGCATCCAGGAAAAGTTTTATGGGCATACAATCGACAGTAGTTACAGCAGAGCCCTCTTCATTGCTTTTTGTTTACTACTTTAAAAAAAAAAACTTTGAGTTTTACGCTGTCTTAGATCAAACAGAAACACATGCAGTTTCCATTTTTTGCAGTGGCTATTTCTTTTTCTGACAGGTTGACCTCTTTTATCAGTTATATTACTTCCCCTAAGTTCAGGGAGAGTATACGTCCCAATCCACTTTTTACTGTCCTCCCAATATATTTATGCAAAAAGTTATGTTCAGAGGCTGAGACACTTTACTTATTGCTCCAAGCATCTGCTTTTATTCTATGACCCAGTTTACCTTTTACAGCCCCAGCTTTTCTTCAGTTCTCAACAAAACCCACACAAATGGATCCACACTAACATATTAATGGGTATTAATAAGATTATACAACATACTTCATTTATTATCTGTGGCTATTGCTTCTTGGCCTTTAGCCTAAGAACAAGTGTATTATCTGTGATTTTCATGAGGACACTTTAGAATACCAGGGCATTTGGGGGTTCTATGGCAAACCAATGGGATGACATTTCTAGGCAAACTATGAAAGAGAGCTAACATTTAGGGAAATTCTTCACTTTTCATAATATGGTGACAGTAAAATTATAATATGAAGGTTAGACAACACACGAGACAACTACAAAATTTCTCACTTACAATGGGAAGCTCCTGGGAGTAACAATGTGCTCTTTTCTGCCTTTGGAGTATTTCAGTGGAAAGGTTATTCCTTTCAACAACACCGCATAGCTATTGTGTTACTTTATGGCACGACAAGGTGTTCCAGGCACACCTCATACTATCACTGCTGCAACCCTAGAAACAGTCTTCCCTCTAAGGATTCCTGTGTTTTCTGTAATGGAAAATATTATTTAGAAACCAAGATGGAAGTACTAAGAATGCTCAATGTTATTTGGGGTGTTGCTTCTCCCAAACCCTCTCAAAGCACAAAGCTAGGAAATAAACGCACATATCATGCATTTATTTTGACATTTATCTATCTATGTATATTAATAACCATGAGTTCCAGACAACCTACAAAATGGAAGAAAATTTTTGTAATCTATCCATTTGACAAAGGGCTAATATCCAGAGTCTATAAGAAACTTAAATTTGCAAGAAAGAAGAGAAAAAAAAACAACTCCATTAAAAAGTGGGCAAAGGGCATGAACAGACACTTCTCAAAAGAAGACATTCATGTGGCCAAATATGAAAATAAGCTCAACATCACTGATCATTAGAGAAATGCAAATCAAAACCACAATGAGATGTCATCTCATGTTAGTCAGAATGGCGATTATTAAAAAGTCAAGAAACAACAGATGCTGGTGAGGTTGCATGGAAAAAGGAACACTTTTACACTGTTGATGGGAATATAAATTAGTTCAACCATTGCGGAAGACAGTGTGACAATTCCTCAAAGATCTAGAACCAGAAATACCATTTGACCCAGCAATCCCATTACTGGGTATATACTCAAAGGAATATAAATCATTCTATTATAAAGACACATGCATGCATATGTTCACTGCAGCACTATTCACAATAGCAAAGACATGGAATCAATCCAAATGCCCATCAATGATAGACTGGATAAAGAAAATGTTGCACATATGCCCCATGGAATATTATGCAGTCATAAAAAGGAACAAGATCATGTCCTTTGGAGGGATATGAATGGAGCTGGAGGCCATTATCCTTGGCAAACTAACTCAGGAAAAGAAAACCAAACACCGCATGTTCTCACTTATAAGTGGGAGCTGAACGATACATGGACACAGGGAGGGAAACAACACACACTAGGGCCTATAGGTGGTTGGGGGTGAGGGAGGGGGAAGGAGGCAGGAATAGCTAAAGAATGCTGAGCTTAATACCTAGGTGATGGTTGATCTGTACAGCAAGCCATCACAGGGCACACATTTACCCATGTAACAAACCTGCACATCCTGGACATGTACCCTGGAACTTAAAATAAAAGTTGAAGAACTTTAAAACCATGGGTTCCCACCATCTCAAATTCCAGTTCACATCCAAAGTTCATTTTTCACTTCTCCTTTTTATTTTTGTAAAAATTCTCTTCACTGATAGTAAGAAACCTGGCTCCCAGTATATTTAATATTTGTATATATTTGTTCAATTCCCCTATATATAATCAATCTTCCAACCTGCTAGACTATTGCCTCCCTCAAACAGCTTCCCCACTTAACTCCAAACCCACGGGTGCCTCCAACAAGTGTTAGGGGAGGAAAATAGGAAGGGTGCTTAAACTTTTCAGATCTATTGCTCTGGCTGTTGGCAGAGAATAGACTTGAGAAGGACGAGAGTAGAATCCAGAAGAACAGCTAGGAGTCCACCTATTCACCAGTTCAGAAAAGAGACAAACGACTTAAGAGATAAAAGTAAGTGACAGAATCCAAAATTTGTCTTGGAGTTAGAACTGGAGAGGTAGCCGACGCATTGGCTGTTTGGGGTGGGTGAGAGGGAAAGGAGAAACAGTGGGTGATTCCCGGGGTTTGACTCAGGCAACTGATAGCGGAGACTTTGACAGCAAAAAAAAAAACAAAACAAAAAACTGAACATAGAAGAGGTTTGGAATGAGGTGAAAGTTATCGAGGGTTGTATTTTGGAAGTTTTATATGAGATTCCTGTTAATATCCAATGGGCCATGCCAAGTAAGTAGGTGAAGATTGACATCATTGGCTGCATTGAACATGGCATTTGATATTGTGGGACTAAAAGAGATCATCAAGGGAAAGAATGGAGATACACATGAAAAGTGAGCTTGAGGCCAAGCCCTACAGCACTGTGTCAGAGAGTGGTAGGTCAGAGGAGGATGTGCCAAGAACAGAAAGACAGGAGAGACTGTGAGGTGGGAATGTAATTAGGTGACAGTGGTGGCCTGGAAGCTAAGAAAATACAGTGTTTCAAGCAGGAGGGAACATTTAACTCTGCCCCAAGTTGCTAAGCTGTCAAATCAAGAAAGAGAAGTGCCTAACAGGCTTGGCTTCAAGGAGATTGTAGAAAGAGCTTGATAAAAGCATTTTTACTGGTGTGGTAAGGAAGGTTGGAGAAGCACTGAACAATGAATGGAAAATGTCTTTCTGGCAACGGTAGGGAGAACTAATTATCAGGAGAAACCTTCCTGATTGAAAACATATAAAACAGTTAAGACATTTATTACATTAGTATTTTATATTAAAAATAGGTATAAAGCACCCTCAGGAAAATGAGAGCTTTAATTATATATGTTTCATCAAAATAAATATTGATGGTTATTAATTATATCCAAAAAGGTTTTACATCTCTTCTGTTAAATGTCTTCAAGGACTGATATGTCTTTAGCAAAATATTTGCAGGTGTAAAAATCATTTCTCTTAGATTTAAAGTGATAGCTTTCAGGACAGAATTAGCTTCTTCCTTGAATTTTGATTTGTGGTAGAAACAAATGTCAGCTGTCTAACAAATGTAGATCTACTACATCATTCTCCTGCACTTTCCCTTTCTCTCATGCTTAGCAGCTGCTGGAATGGAATCAGCGATTCTATCTCAGTTCTGAGAGTCCCACGTTTTTTATCTTGAATTTTTTTCATCTCTCATTAGTAATTACTTCTCATTTTTTAAAATTTATTTTTGCTTTTATAATTATTTTTAACTGACACAATCAATGTACATTTTTATGGGAAACAGTGTGATATTTTGACACACGTATACAAAGTGTAACGATGACATCTCAAATTGTTTCCTTTATTAATTCAATTTATTTTTAACTTTCAAGACTTTAGTATATTTAAGAAGTTTGTCTATGTCCTCATTTTTATATCAAAACCCCTTTTCTCTTTTTCCTTGTTTTTCATTTACTTTTTTTCCTTCTTTTCCTTTTTCTAGGGGGAGTGGCAGCTTCTGCTTGGACCATGCTTTATTTTTATAAATATCTTTCTCCCTCATTTTCTGTTAAATTTTTTCTTTTCTTTGCAGTAGCAGAAGCTTCTGCCTAAGCTTTTGTCTAATTTTATCTTTAAATGAAAGCTGGCTGTGTCAGTTTTTATAAATACAAAATCTGCAGACTACTTTCCCCTTAGTCCTAGCATTTTGGGCATCCTTAGAAGGGCAAAATCTCACCAAGACTAGAAAAATCAAGATTCTTTAATTTGAAGACGAGGCTGCATTCAGGCTTTGCATAATCTTAAGCATATGACACAAAAATCTTTCGCCTTTCAAACACAGCTCTGGACTGGCAGGACTTTGGAAAAGACCCACTGCATTTTCCTGAGGTTTCTTCCATGTACTGTTTTTGTTTGCTTGTTTGTTAAAATACAAGGAAACTGGTGTATGTACTTCTGGAAGGTAAAAATCCAAGCACTTGGCTTCCACTGTCACCTCAGGCTGCCTGACACAGAGTCCCAACACAAGAGCACTTGCATTGCTAGAGGAATCCGCTGCAAAATCCCGCTGACTTCGGCAACGGCTGAGCCACTGCATCTGGGGACTTTAAGATTCCACTTTGCAATTTGCAGAATTTGTGTTTGTGTTTCTTGTTATCTTTATAATCTTCTCAGGATCACCAGAGTCTTTCCACAATATTCCAACCAGTTCCAATGACTGATTGATAACCAGATGATTTTCCTGGCTCTGAGTTAGAAGAAAACGCACCATTAAATTACATTCTCTTCTGTACATACTGGGTAACAAAGGTGAAAGAAACTACAGGTGGCTGGGAGTTTCCATGTGTTGCTGGCTACAGCCACTTCCCCTCACAGGGATCCAGACTGGATCCCAGCTTTTCCACTTCCTGAGTTCTGAGGGGCTGGTGAAAGATGTATTCTCTCTGCTTTGGCAAAAATTTTAGAATGGTATTCATAGTCACATCAAATTTCGTGTCCAAAAATTTCTGCTTCATCCAACACCAGAACATTAAAGAATTGTATCCACTGGCTAAATCCAATTCCTTGGTCTTCCTTTGGGATATGCCTTCCAAGTGAATTAACATTGCCACAATGACGCTTCGTCTTATTCATTTACACTTCAGCATGGTCTCCAGGATTTCTGCCTTGGATACAAACAATCTACGCAAACTGTAGCAAGCGTTTTGTGAAATGTGATACGATCTCATTTGTTTGGATAGCCAGTTCTCTTGGTGTGATTGGGTTACCACCTATTTCTCCTTAACATCATTTTTCTTCTTAAAAGAATCTCCAGGATGAAAATAAAAAATTTGAATTACCTTTTGATGAAGCAGTACTCTCTCTCTGGAAATCTACCTTGAAGATATACCTTCACTAAAAGAAACAACACATGCAAAAAATTGTTCATATGGGATTCTTGCTAGTAGTAATATCTTGGGAAATAAATATTCATCAGTAGGACACATGGCGAATTCTGAGTCGGAGGAAGGAAAAGTACCAGGTGAGCCTGAGATATTCTTTTGTGCCAAAAAGCAAGGAAGCTATCAACAACCACTGGAACATGTCAAAAGGATCCAAGAATCAGTTTAAAATCACCAACCAAATTCGGGACACTTTGAGTAGCAAAAGGAATACTTAATGACTATAAGTCACTATAAACAGTAAATAAATTAAAAATCTGTAAGTCCAGTGATAATCAAAAAACAAAGGGAAGAAAAGAAAAATGAAAATTTTCATTACTGAGTATCATTATTACACCAATTCCTTATTCTAAAATGTTGGGGAAAAGCTGAGTGTTGGGAGGGAAACTGAGGCAGGGCTTGCATAATGTCCTCTGGAATGTGTCTAGACTTGCTGGCTCCTTGCTTCTAGCCCTCCTAGGCTCCTAGATCGATTGTATTACCATTATCTCAAGTACATGTGCCTCATAAATGCTAAACTCACAGCTATGGATCATGCACCTGCCCTTTCCACCTCCACATTCTCACCACCTGTTTCTTTGTTGGATTACCAATAAATAGCATGGGCTCCCAGAGCTTGGGGCCTTCGCAGCCTCCATGATTGCGATGGCTCCCTAGTCCCACTTCCCTCTCTCAAACTGTCTTTTTCTCAATCCTTTGACTCCGCCGGACTTTGTCACCCCCACGACCTGGTGTTGGGTCTGATCACCCCAACACTAAAAATCAAAAATTAAAGGGAAAGAAGTAAGCATTTACCCTAACTTTTCAGGAGAAATTGTGCTTTATTCTGAGATGATGAGGGAAAGCTTTTTAAAATAAATGTAGAAGAAATGCTAGAATCAGAAAATGATGGTCAACGAGGTATTTGCATGGTGCCAAATACTACTGTATTAGTTTGCCAAAGCTGCTGTAGTGAAATGCCATACACTGAGTGTATTTCAAAGCTGCTGTAGTGAAATGCCATACACTGAGTGTATTTCTGAAGTAACAAATGTAGTGTCTCCTGGTTCTGGAATGCAGAAGTTCAGGGACCAAGGCATTGACCAGGTTGCTTCCTCCTGAGAGCTGAGGGAGGGATCCATTCCAGGACCCTCTCCTTGGCTTGTAGGTAGCCACCTTCTCCCTGTGTCTCTTCACATCATCTTCCCCCTACATGTGTCTGTCTCTGTGTCCAAGTTTCCCTATTTTATAAGAACACTAGTCATATTGGATTAGGGCTCACCCTAACCACTTTATTTTAACTTTATCTCTGCAAAGATCCTATTTCCAAATAAGGTCTCATTCTGAGGTACTTGGGGGTAGAACTTCAACATATCTTTTTGACAGGGGACACAACTCGACCCAAAATAATTACCTTAGAGGTGACTTGCTCATATCAAAGGAAAACAGGATACATTTGCAATATAAATATTTGGTGATCACAAGCTTAATTAAGTGATCCGTGTGAGCATCAGTAACAGTGGGACAACCTGACGTCATGTACCTCCTGATGTGACGCACTGAGAAGTACACAGCATCACCTACCCAGTCTGCTGGGCACACAGCAAACCTGAACCCAGTCCAGTCTGCAGGCCTTCTTTCAGTTTACAGGAAGGAGAAACAAGGCAAATGTGTCCCAAGCATCACAAAGTCATATTCAGACAAATTCAGAATACAAAGCACTCAACAACACATCTGAGCTGCAGAAGTCAACACCATAAAAATAAGTGTATCAGAACTTCTCTAGAACAGGCTAAAAAAACAGATCAATAAGTAACAATACATGGCTCTTGACTGTACTCTGGTTAGGGAAAAAAGGGGCTTTATAATAGAATTTCGAGACAATTGAGATTTGAATATAGACTGAATATTAGGGAAGTAGTGGGACTATGTGCTTCCTGATGTACAGGTATTATACAATGTTTTGTAGACATTGTCCCTATTTTTAGGGGAAGTAGAGGAAGCATCATGTTGTCTGCAAAATATTTTCAAATGGGTTTTGTTAAATCAATTTGTCATCACTGGAAGAGACTGTTACACCAACCCTTTACTCTGAAAATTCATGATCAAAGGGAAAAGGGGGAAATTATACTCACAGTAGATTTGGCAAATCTTAACAACTGTTGAATTTAAATGGGGAATATATGAGTAATCATTTTACTTCTTTTGAAAAATTTCACAATAAAAAGTTCGAAGAAAAAGATCTAATTAAATAGATACTCCTGTTCATGGATAAAAGAACTTAATTTCATTCTCACCAAAGTGTCCCATCTATTAGATACACTGAAAATCCCAGCAGGGTTGTGTGTGTGTCACTTGATAAGCTAATTCTAAATTGTACATGTATTTCAAAAGGGCCAGAAAATAGTCAAGATCCTCCTGAAGGAGATTAATAATGTGAGATTTTCCCTGCCATATATCAAGACTCCTAACAAGGCTAAAGTGATTCTGACAATGTGGTCTTACTGCAGGGATAGAAAAATATGCCAATGGAACAGAACTGAGAATCTGGAAGCATAGAAGCACAGAATTTAGGACAGTGATGACATCCAGGGCGGAGGGTAGGGTGGAAGAGGGATAAGATTGGAGGGATACCTACAAGGGTTTCAAATGTTCTAGAAATGCTCTATTTCTTTGGCTGGTGATATGTATATAAGGGTTCAGTTTATTATTCTTTAAAGAATACATATATATTTTGTATTTTATCTATTTTATATAAAATTTTATCTATTTTATATAAAATTTTATCTATTTTATATAAAATTTTATCTATTTTATATAAAATTTTATCTATTTTATATAAAATTTTATCTATTTTATATATGATATATATCAAAATAAATATGGACTTAAGTGACAACGAAAGCTGTTTACAGGAATTAGAAGGTAGCAATAAAAAGTATGGACAACTCTTTAAGGAAACGTTCATTATAAAGGAAAACTAAGCATTAAGACTGTAGTTGACAGAGACTGAAAAGGTAAGGTTTGGTCTTGTTTGCTAGGTTGTTTGTTTACTGCCACAAAAGATCCCACAGAAAGGGAAATATTGATAATGCAGGAGAAAAAGGCGATGATCATAAAAGCCACGGCACAGACACAGGGGTTGCCTTGGATTAGATCAGAGACATTTTCAGAGGGACAACAGAAACTATTGTCACAGAGGTAGAAAGCATTTCAGATTTAACGTTGGAAACAAAAACTCTCTGGGTTGTCGTCTTCTCCTTCTTCAATGAAGTATTAGACAAAACCATTAACCTAGACGATAGTGTGATTGCAGAAGGGGATGTGAGGTTTAAGAGAAGAAGGAATGAAGAGGCCTTTTGCAGGGAGTAGGAAAGTCAATGCTTTAGGAAAATGTAGGAGGATGGCTGTGCCGTGATGAGCACCTATGTGAAATGTGTGGTCCTGAATTTACAGTGAAATGGGTCAGCACAGCTCTGACATTTTCCCCTAGCTACTTTCACCTCAGAAGACGCTTCAGTCATTTCCATTAGGTAACTACCTAAGGACTCAGTCAAGGACGCAAACATAAGCACAGACCATGGAAGGCAAGTGGGGCAAAGTAGGAACAGAAGACTGAAGGGAGTGGTGGATATTTTTTAAAAGTAGTGGATGGAATTCCACATAATGGGCTAAGAATTACTGAGGCGGCATAGTAGGGGAAATATACACAGAATGTTCGGTACGCAGGTGATGCTGTTCTTGCTAATAATACAACCTAAGATGTAACCAACCATGTGAATGGCTGACTGAGACGGTAAGGAGGAAATGACTACTAAAAAATCATTGAGATTGGGAGGCCGTGGTGGGTGGATCACGAGGTCAGGAGTTCAAGACCAGCCTGGCCAGGATGGTGAAACCCCGTTTCTACTAAAAAATACAAAAATTAACTGGGCGTGGTGGCGGGGGCCTGTAATCCCAGCTACTCAGGAGCCTGAGGCAGAGAATTGCTTGAACCCGGGAGGTGGAGGTTGCAGTGAGCTGAGATTGCACCATTGCACTCCAGGCTGGTGACAGAATGAGACTCTGTCTCAAAAAATAAAATAAAACAAAATAAAAATAGTTAAATCAAATTATATAACCAAGATTGCGCCACTGCACTCCAGGCTGGTGACAGAGTGAGACTCCATCTCAAAAAAAAAAAAAAAATCATTGAGAAACTAGGGTATTAAATGAAGACTTGAAATTGATGTCGAGGTCACCAGGCATAATAACACGAGTCTGGAAGTAAGAAATTCTGTGAAACTGCAAGCCACTTTTCAACTGTGATTTGTAACTCATGTCCTAACTTTGTAAGTAAATACTTTTCCTAAGTGTAAAAATATAATTATTTATAAATCTTAAATGCTAGCCCCCTGGTATACATGTTACCTTGTGACTCATTTTCTAACTAATAAAGAGCATTTGTAATTTAATACGCATCTTAGAATTACCCATACTCTGAAAAGGTTTTCGTTATCCAAAAAAACAGTTTGCATAAGTTGGGCCATCAATGTAATAAGTATATATCTCTCTTCCAAAGGACTCTGTTTAGATAATATTTATTAAGCTCCCATATTAACACATGGTGTCTAATAAAATCCCAAAAGAGTAATGAATACCTCACTGTGCTGGGGAAAAAAATAAAACTCTCAAATACTCTGAGGGGGGGAAAATCTGTTTAAGGTTTTCAGAGCTGTATCCAAGCAGCAGACGGAGAAATAAATATGCCACTTAGAATTCCTATACCCTTCCTTGGGCAATATAAAATGATATAAGAAAGGCCAAACTGGCTTGAAAAATATTCATCCACTCCAGCAGCCTCTCTACAGTGACCAGACTTAGGATTCATGAGGGATTAATAAACAGTGGGCCCCTAATATATTTAAGCATTCTCTTAATAGCCACAAGGAGTCAGCAAGCATGGATTTATGTAGAACCCACTAAACCTAAATATAGGCTACCATTCTTTTTTATGAGCTAAAGAGGCCATATAATCTCACCCGTAATACAAGTTTGGTGTTCTGCAGGAAATTCTTAGACTCCACTATTTACTATTGCCAGAGTGTACAAAATGTATCAAATACTCTGCTAGGAATAATGATACAAATAATAATAATAATTATTATTATTATTATTGAGATGAAGTCTCACTTTGTCTCCCAGGCTGGAGTGCAGTGGCGCCATCTCACTTTGTCTCCCAGGCTGGAGTGCAGTGGCGCCATCTCAGCTCACTGCAGTCTCTGCCTCTTGGGTTCAAGTGATTCTCCTGCCTCAGCCTCCTGAGTAGCTGGGATTACAGGCACCCCACTACCATACCTGGCTAATTTTTATATTTTTAGCAGAGACAGGGTTTCACCTTGTTGGCCAGGTTGGTCTCGAAGATACAAATTATTAAAGCTCCTTCTTAGGGTAACCTGTCCAGATAAGGAGAGATTCTGGTCAACTGAAGCAGAGAGAAACAAGGAGAAATACTAAAAACATATTTGTTCCCTTGTTCTATGCTTGACTTTCTTTTTTAACTCTCACACAGTTCTTAGATTCAACCTTTACATCTTTATTCTGGTGGCAAATAAAAGGATATAATGTTAAAACATTCCATGAGCAAAACCCCGAAAAGTACCATTTCTTTGATGCCGAAGTCAAAGTGACCTTGGTGTAATTGTTTATTCTAATTACAGAAAGGTTGAAAATAATAGAGATGATGTGTGCACAGCTGAGGGCTAAAGCAACAGAATAAAAATATCTGATTCCATGTTAGTACTGTCACAGTAAAAACATAAAGTTCCTGTATTTTAATATGTGGTTTGGCATGAAATCAGTCCCTGATCAGACCCACTGAAACTATGCTTGACTTAGCCTGCAGGAAGACTATGTTCTTCCTAACAAGAGACAATCTCAATTCTTCATGTTAAGGACCTGAGAAATGACAGAAGGAACATGATTAAGACCTAAAATGACAAGCAAAGGATGAAATTCAAGTTTTTATGGTAGTCAAAGTTGTGACTCTGGGCCAAGTGCGGTGGCTCACACCTGTAATCCCAGCACTTTGGGAGGCTGAGGCAGGCGGATCACGAGGTCAGGAGATGGAGACCATCTGGCTAACATGGTGAAACCCTGTCTCTACTAAAAAAAAATACAAAAAATTAGCCAGGTGTGGTGGCGGGTATCTGCAGTCCTAGCTACTCGGGAGGCTGAGGCAGGAGAATGGCGTGAACCCGGGAGGCGGAGCTTGCAGTGAGCCGAGATTGCACCACTGCACTCCAGCCTGGGTGAGAGAGCGAGACTCCGTCTCAAAAAAAAGAAAAAGTTGTGGCTCCTGTTGTAGTATTTCTGTCTGTAGTATCTGTGTCAAAAGCTATGGAGGAGGGTCTGGGGCAATGGAGTTTTCTGCAGTTTAGTATGGGAGTTCATTACAATACAGTGATCATTATTTCAGTATCACTATAATGCGGTAAAGTAACATAAATAGGAAAAAAAGAACAAATGGAAAATTTTTTCCTAAAAACCCTGATTTTAAAAAATAAGGATATTTTAAACACACAAAAGGTGAGAGAAAGACAAAAGGCAAGTATTGTTTAGACAGAGAATTTCCTTTAGTTTATAGGAGGAGAGGGAGACATCAGGAAGTTAATTGTAGAAAGGTTCGCATTCTTTTAATCTCGCAGAAGTGAAGGTATAGTCAATATCAAAAACCCATTTGACCAAAGAAAAGTTTCCACAGGGTTTCCGAGTACCCATTCTGTATTTGATTGTCCTAGAAATAGAATATCCACCTTATGGAAAGGAAAGTTTAATGCAAAGAAAGCAAATAGTAATCAGATGCCAGGGCACACATGACATACTCAGCTCTGTCTTGGGCAATGTTTTGGGGAGCAGTTAGGGAGGAACATGTCTGGCTGTCAAACAGCAATGCCATGCACAGGAATACTAAAACATACAAAAGGCAGAGATTTCTCAAAGAACTTAAAACAGAACCACCATTTGACTCAGCAATCCCATTACTGGTTATATACACAAAGAAAAGTAAATTGTTCTGCCAAAAAGATACATACACTCATGTTCATTGCAGCACCATTCACAATAGCAAAGGCATGGAATCAATATAGGTGCCCATCAACAGTGGATTGGATAAAGAAAATACAGTACATATAGAACATGGAATACTATGCAGCCATGAAAAAGAACAAAGTCATGCCCTTTGTAGAAACATGGAAGCAGCTGGAAGCCATTATCCTAAATGAATTAGCAAAGGAACAACCAACCAAATACTGCATGTTCTCACCTACAGGTGGGAGCTAAGAACTGGGTACATATGGATATAAAGATGGCAACAACAGATGCTGGTGACTACTAGAAAGAGGAGGGAGAGAGAGGGCAAGAGTTGAAAAACTACTTATGGAGTACTACGTTCACTACCTGGGGGATGGGATCATTCATACCATAAACCTCAGTGTTACTCTATACTCCCTGGTCACCAACCTGCACATGTTCACCCTGAATCTAAAATAAAAGTTAAAATTATGGGGTGAAAAGGCGAATGTAAGCTTTCAAGTGTGTGACAGCTTCCTGATGGTGCCGACTGTGGCTTCTCCTGCTGACCTGGGTTAGAAGCAGCATTGAGCCAAAGCTCTGTCTGCAGTGAGAATCCGGTTTCCCATCTTGTCCATGGCAGCACTGCTCCTCAGAGGAAAAACCTGTCTGGATGGGACAAGGCTGATGGGCTGGCCCCTCTCTCAGTGCCTCATGGGTTTAGAGCACTCAGAGGAGCCTGCTACTTCAATGGCTCTCCTGACCTGCCCATCTCCTCACAGGGCCAGAAGCCTTCAGTGGGTGGGAGGGTAGGAAGGCAGGGATGAAATAAGCAGTCACCTTGGGAGTTTTGGTAATTAGGAATTCTGTCCAGAAAGTTTGAAAACAGGAGCATTTGGTACATTTTGCTTCCATTATCTCCACTCGATTAGAGGATTATAATGAAGAAATTAAACACATGTACAAAGTAAGCAATAAAAGTATTTTTAGGCAGGGCCGCAGTGGCTCACGCCTGTATTCTCAGCACTTTGGGAGGCCGAGGCGGGTGGATTACCTGAAGTCAGGAGTTCGAGACCAGCCTGGCCAACATGGTGAAACCCCGTCTCTACTAAAAATGCAAAAATTAGCTGGGTGTGGGGATGCGTGCCTGTAATCCCAGCTACTCAGGAGGCTGAGGCAGGAGAATCACTTGAACCCAGAAGGCGGAGGTTGCAGTGAGCTGAGATCACGCCACTGAACTCCAGCCTGGATAAGACGACGACTCCGTCTCAAAAAAATATATATATATATATGAGTATATATATGTGTATATATATGAGTATATATATGTGTATATATATGAGTATATATATGTGTATATATATGAGTATATATATGTGTATATATATGAGTATATATATGTGTATATATATGAGTATATATATGTGTATATATATGAGTATATATATGTGTATATATATGAGTATATATATGTGTATATATATGAGTATATATATGTGTATATATATGAGTATATATATGTGTATATATATGAGTATATATATGTGTATATATGAGTATATATATGTGTATATATGAGTATATATATATGTGTATATATGTGAGTATATATATGTGTATATATATGAGTATATATGTGTATATATATGAGTATACATATGTGTATATATATGAGCATATATGTGTATATATATGAGTATATATATGTGTATATATATGAGTATATATGTGTATATATATGAGTATATATGTGTATATATATGAGTATATATGTGTGTATATATGAGTATATATGTGTGTATATATGAGTATATATGTGTGTATATGAGTATATAAGTATTTTTAGGCAGGGCCGCAGTGGCTCACGCCTGTATTCTCAGCACTTTGGGAGGCCGAGGCGGGTGGATTACCTGAAGTCAGGAGTTCGAGACCAGCCTGGCCAACATGGTGAAACCCCGTCTCTACTAAAAATGCAAAAATTAGCTGGGTGTGGGGGTGCGTGCCTGTAATCCCAGCTACTCAGGAGGCTGAGGCAGGAGAATCACTTGAACCCGGAAGGCGGAGGTTGCAGTGAGCTGAGATCACGCCACTGAACTCCAGCCTGGATAAGACGACGACTCCATCTCAAAAAAAAACATATATATATATGAGTATATATATGTATATATGTGTATATATATGAGTATATATATGTGTATATATATGAGTATATATATGTGTATATATATGAGTATATATATGTGTATATATGAGTATATATGAGTATATATATGTGTATATGAGTATATATATGTGTATATATATGAGTATATATATGTGTATATATATGAGTATGAGTATATATATGTGTATATATATGAGTATATATATGAGTATATATGTGTGTATATATGAGTATATATGTGTGTATATATGAGTATATATGTGTGTATATATGAGTATATATGTGTGTATATATGAGTATATATGTGTGTATATATGAGTATATATGTGTGTATATGAGTATATATGTGTGTATATGAGTATATATGTGAACATATATATGTGTATATATGTGAACATATATATGTGTATATATGTGAACATATATATGTGTATATATGTGAACATATATATGTGTATATATGTGAACATATATATGTGTATATATGTGAACATATATATGTGTATATATGTGAACATATATATGTGTATATATGTGAACATATATATGTGTATATATGTGAACATATATATGTGTATATATGTGAACATATATGTGTATATATGTGAACATATATGTGTATATATGTGAACATATATGTGTATATATGTGAACATATATGTGTATATATGTGAATATATATGTGTATATATGTGAATATATATGTGTATATATGTGAATATATATACATATATGTGAATATATATACATATGTGAATATATATGTATATATGAATATATATGAATATATGTATATATATGATTATATATGAATATATATGTATATATGTATACATTATATGAATATATATGATTATATATGAATATATATGATTATATATGAATATATATGAATATATATGTATATATGAATATATATGAATATATATGTATATATGAATGTATATGTATATATGAATATATATGTATATATATGAATATATATGTATATATATGAATATATATGTATGTATATGAATATATATGTATGTATATGTATATATTTTAAATAGAGCTATTCCTAAAATTTTTAAAAATGTACTAAAATGTGTTTACATTTATAGAAATCAAAATTCATTTTTAAAGTTTTACTTCATAGGCAGCAAGTAGCTTTCATGATGTGCAACTTGACACTTAGGTACTACGCCTTCCTTATTCCCTTCCCCTACGAGGAACTTGTTTGTTTTCTACCTGTTCTTTCCTGCTTGAAAAACAGATCCCATTGCTTCTTGCCTGAGTACCTGCTAACTACAGTTTGGCTATAGACAACAGGGAGATTTATATTTAACTTCATCATAATGAATAGCTACTTTCTATTTTTCTAGGGAATCATTAGAGAATTAAGAAACAAGATGAAGGAGATAAGCCCAAGAATCAACAAAGATATGGACAAACAGAAACTTGACCACAAGCAAATCATTTGTACTAACTATTGGAGATATTGCAAGGTTTAGAGGGCTTGGAAAGAAAGGGAGAGGCAGTATTGAAACTCCAGAGTGACAGATGAGATAGATGACCACGGCTAATGGAAACATAGAACATAAAGAGATGCAACCTGGAACCACAGATAAAGCAGATTAAATATATTCACACAGTAAGCAAGGGGGACTGACTGAGTGAAGAAGGGGCTACTGGCTGGGTGCAGTGGCTCACGCCTGTAATCCCAGCACTCTGGGAGGCCAAGGCAGGTGAATCATGAGGTCAGGAGTTCAAGACCAGCTTGGCCAAGATGGTGAAGCCCCGTCTCTACTAAAAATACAAAAATGAGCCAAGCATGATGGCAGGTGCCTGTAATCCCACCTACTTGGGAGGCTGGGGCAGGAGAACCGCTTGAACCCCATAGGCAGAGGTTGCAGTGAGGCGAGATTGCGCCATTGCACTCCAGCCTGGGTAATAAGAATGAGACTCCATCTCAAAAAAAAAAGTATCAAATATTGGCAGTTTCATATGATGCAACCTAACAGTTCCTTATGACTGGAGACAAAGGTGTCTGGGATGAAATAGCAGAGAGTGAGTTGAGAGTGATGGGCAGGACCAGATGTGGATGAGCCTCTTCTACACTATTCATATTTTGAGCCCAATAATCTTTGTTCTGGGGACTATCCTGT